>NC_000002.12:199004769-199307799 GCF_000001405.40 Homo sapiens
ACGCCATCTCTACCAAAACTACAAAAATTAGCCTGTAGTCCCAGCTACCCAGGAGGCTGAGGTGGAAGAATCGCTTGAATCCGGGAGGTAGAGATTGCAGTAAGCCAAGAAACGCGCCATTGCACTCCAGCCTGGGTGACAGAGCAAGACTCGGTCTCCAAAAAAAAAAAAAAAAAAAAGTGTATATATCAAAAAACAAAATAGTATATATATTTATGATACATAACATGTTTTGAAATATGAATACATTGTGGAATGGCTAAATCAAGCTATTAACTTATACACAACTTCACACACTTTTCGTGGGGAGAACTCTTAAAATCTACTCACTTAGCAATTTTCAAGAAGATAATACATTGCTTAACTATGTCATCATGTTGTAGAATAGATCTCTTAAATGTATTCCCCTTGTCCAACTGAAATTTTGTGTCCTTTGACCAACACTTCCCCAACTCCTACCTTACCACCCCATCCCCAGCCCCTGGTAACCACTATTTGACGCTCTACTTTTATGAAATCAATTTTTTTAGATTCCACACATGAGTGAGATCATGCAATATTTGCCTTTCTGTGCCTGGCTTATTTCACTTATAATAACGTACTTCAGGTTCATCCACGTTGTCATCACATTGTCAGGATTCTCTTCTTTTTTAAGGCTGAAGAGTATTCTGTTGTGCATATACCATATTTAAATATTTATATATCATATTTTCTTTATCCATTTATCCATTGATGGACACTTTGATTGATTCCATACCTTTGCTATTTTGAATAATGCTGCAGTGAACACGGGAGAGCAGATATTGCTAACATACTGAAATTATTTTCTTTGAATATATACACTCAGTTTTGGAATTACTGGATTATACGGTAGTTATATGTGTCATTTTTTGAGGAACCTCCATACATTCTTTATAATGACTCTACTAATTTACATTCCTACCAACAGCACTCAAAGGATCCATTTTCTCCGTATCCTTTCCAACATTTAGTGTCTTTTGTCTTTTTGATAATAGTCACTTCAAAAGGTGTGAGGTGGTATCTCATTGTAGCTTTAATTTGCATTTCTCAGATGATTAGTGATCATTTTTTCATATACCTGTTGGACATTTGTACATCTTCTTTTAAGAAATGTCTATCCAGCTCCTTTCTCCATTTTTTTAAATTAGGTTATTTGTTTTCTAACTATTGTATTGTTTGTGTTTTTTATATATTTTGGATATTAACCTCTTATCAGATGTATAATTTACAAATATTTCCTTCTATTCTGTAGGTTTCTCTTCACTGTATTGATGTTTCCTTGGCTGTGCAGTAGCTTTTTAGCTTGATCTAATCCTGTTGTCATTTTTGCTTTTCTGCCTGTGCTTTTGGGTTCATATCCAGAAAAAAAGATTGCCCAGACCAATGTCATGGAGCTTTTCCCCATGTTTTCTATTAGTAGTTTTACAGTCTCAAGATTTACATTTAATTTTCTAGGCCATTTTGAGTTGAATTTTAGTTATGATGTAAAGTAAGGATTTAACTTCATTTTTCTGCATGTGGAGATCCAGTTGTCCCAACACCACTAATGAAGAAAGTGTCCTTTGCTTATTGTGTGTTTTTGGCATGTTTGTTGAAAATCAATTGACCATAAATGCATGGGCTTGTTTCTGGGCCCTCTATTCTGTTCTGCTGATCTATATACCTGTTTTTATGTCAGTACCATTTTATTTTTATTACTATAGCTTTGTAGCATATTTTTAAGTCAGGTAATATGATGCCCCTGGCTTTGCTCTTTTGTTAAAGATTGTGTTAGCTATTCAGGGTCTTTGCGGCTCCTTTTGAATTTTAGGATTCTTTTTTTCTGTTTCTGTGAAAATATCATTAAAATTTTAATAGGGATTGCATTGAATCTGTGGTGTGGACATTTTAATAATATTAATTCTTCCAATCCATGAACATAGGATATCTTTTTTCATCAATCTTTTATAGTTTTCGGTGCACAGGTCTTTCTTTTTTTGGTTAAATTTATTTCCGTTTTATTTGATTTTTGTAGCTATTGTAATGAGATTTCCTTGCTTTCTTCTTCAGTTAGTTCATTGTCAATATATAGAAATGCTACTGATTTTTGTAGGTTGATTTTATATCCTACAACTTTACTGAATTTATTAGTTCCAATTTTTTTTTGTAGAGTCTTTAAGATTTTCTATGTATAAGATTATGCCTTCTGCAAATAGGGACAATTTAACTCATTTTTTCCAACTTGGATGCCTTTTTTTTCTCTTGCCTAATTCCTCTGGCTAGAACTTCCATACTGAAATAAAATGGTGACAGTAGACATCCATGTCTTGTTCTAGATCTTACAGAAAAAGCTTTCAATTTTTCATCGAGTATGATGTTAGCTGTGGGTTTGTCATATTTGACCTTTATTTCATTGAAGTACATTTCTTCTATACCTAATTTGTTGAGAGTTTTTATTGTGAAGAAATATTAAATTTTATCAAATGCTTTTTCTGGATCTATTGAGATAATTATATTGTTTTTGCTCTTTATTCTGTTAATGTGTTGTATCACATTTATAGCTTTGTGTATGTTGAACCATCCTTGCATCCCTGGGATAAATAATACTTGATCATGCTGAATTATCTTTTTATTTATTTATTTATTTATTTATTTATTTTTGAGACAGAGTCTCACACTGTTTCCCAGGCTGGGGTGCAATGGGGTGATCTTGGCGCACTGCAACCTCTGCCTTCCAGGTTCAAGCGATTCTCCAGCCTCAGCTTCCTGAGTAGCTAGGATTACAGGTGCCTGCCACCAGGCCTGGCTAATTTTTTGTATTTTTAGTAGAGATGGGATTTTACTATGTTGGTCAGGCTGGTCTCAAACTCCTGACCTTGTGATCCACCTGCCTCAACCTCCCAAAGTGCTGGGATTAGAGGCGTGAGGCAACGCACTTGGCTATCTTGGTGTCTTGTTTTTTTATTATACTTTAAGTTCTTGGGTACATGTGCAGAATGTGCAATTTTGTTACATAGGTATACACGTGCCATGGCGGTTTGCTGCATCCATCAACCGGTCACTACATTAGGTATTTCTCCTAGTGTTATCCCTCCCCTAGCCCTCAACCCTGCAACAGGTCCCATTGTGTGATGTTCCCCTCCTTATGTCCATGTGTTCTCATTGTTCAACTCCCATTTATGAGTGAGAACATGCGGTGTTTGGTTTTCTGTTCCTGTGATAGTTTGCTGAGAATGATGGTTTCCAGCTTCATCCATGTCCCTGCAAAGGACATGAACTCATTCTTTTTTATGGCTGCACAGTATTCCATGGTGTCACATTTTCTTTATCCAGTCTATTATTGATGACCATTTGGTTTGGTTCCAAGTCTTTGCTATTGTGAACAGTGCCACAATAAACATACGTGTGCATGTGTCTTTATAGTGGAAAGATTTATAATCCTTTGAGTATATATCCAGTAATGGAATTGCTGGGTCAAATGGTATTTCTAGTTGTAGATCCTTAAGGAATTGCCACAGTCTTCCACAATGGTTGAATTAATTTACACTCGCACCAACAGTGTAAAAGTGTCCTTATTTCTCCACATCCTCTCCAGCATCTGTTGTTTCCTGACTTTTCAATGATTGTCATTCTAACTGGTGTGAGATAGTATCTCATTTTGGTTCTGATTTGCATTTCTCTAATGACCAGTGATGATGAGCATTTTTTTCATATGTCTGTTGGCTGCATAAATGTCTTCTTTTGAGAAGTGTCTGTTCATATCGTTTGCCCATTTTTTGATGGGGTAGTTTTTTTCCTGTAAATTTGTTTAAGTTCTTTGTAGATTCTGGATATTAGCCCTTTGTCAGATGCAGAGATTGCAAAAATTTTCTCCCATTCTGTAGGTTGCCTGTTCACTCTGATGATAGTTTCTTTTGCTGTGCAGAAGCTCTTTAGTTTAATTAGATCCCATTTGTCAATTGTGGCTTTTGTTGCCATTGCTTTTGGTGTTTTAGACAGGAAGTCTTTGCCCATGCCTATATCCTGAATGGTATTTCCCAGGTTTTCTTCTGGGATTTTTATGGTCCTAGGTCTTACATTTAAGTCTCTGATCCATCTTGTGTTGATTTTTGTATAAGGTGTAAGGAAGGTGTCCAGTTTCAGTTTTCTACATATGGCTAGCTAGTTTTCCCAACACCATTTATTAAATAGGGCATCCTTTCCCCATTTCTTGTTTTTGTCAGGTTTGTCAAAGATCAGATGGTTATAGATGTGTGATGTTATTTCTGAGGCCTCTGTTCTGTTCCATTGGTCTATATATCTGTTTTGGTACCAGTACCATGCTGTTTTGGTTACTGCAGCATTATAGTATAGTTTGAAGTCAGGTATCATGATCCCTCTAGCTTTGTTCTTCTTGCCCAGAATTGTCTTGGCTATGCGGGCTCTTTTTTGGTTCAATGTGAAGTTTAAAGTAGTTTTTTCCAATTCTGTGAAGAAAGTCAGTGATAGCTTGATGGGGATAACATTGAATCTATAAATTACTTTGGGCAGTATGGCCATTTTCATGATATTGATTCTTCCTATCCATGAGCATGGAAAGTTTTTCTGCTTGTTTGTGTCCTCTCTTATTTCCTTGAGCAGAGGTTTGTAGTTCTCTTTGAAGAGGTCCTTCACATCCCTTGCAAGTTGGATTCCTAGGTATTTTATTCTCTTTGTAGCAATTGTAAATGGTAGTTCACCATGATTTGGCTCTCTGTCTGTTAATGGTGTATAGGAATGCTTGTGATTTTTGCACCTTGATTTTGTATCCTGAGACTTTGCTGAATTTGCTTATCAGCTTAAGGAGATTTTGGGCTGAGACAATGGGGTTTTCTAAGTATACAATCATGTCATCTGCAAAGAGAGACAATTTGACTTCCTCTCTTCCTATTTGAATACACTTTATTTCTTTCTCTTGCCTGATTGCCCTGACCAGAACTTCCAATTCTATGATGAATAGGAGTGGTAAGAGAGGGCATCCTTGTCTTGTGTCAGTTTTCAAAGGGAATGCTTCCAGATTTTACCCATTCAGTATGATATAGATATGATAGACAGTATAATATGATACAGAAAAAGTTTATAATTTTTCATCATTGATTATGATTTTAGCTGTAGGTTTGTTATATTTGGCCTTTATTTCACTGAAGTACATTTCTTCTATACCTAATTTGTTGAGAGTTTTTATCGTGAAGCAATATTAAATTTTATCACATGCTTTTTCTGGATCTATCCAGATAATTATATGGTTTTTGCTCTCTATTCTGTTAATGTGTTGTGTCACATTTATAGATTTGTGTATGTTAAACCATCCTTGCATCCCTGGAATAAATAATACTTGATCATGCTGAATTATCTTTTTAATGCGCTGTTGAATTCCATCTGTTAGTATTTTGTTGAGAATTTGTGCATTTATGTTCACCAGGCATATTGGCCTGTAGTTTTCTATTCTTCTAGTGTTTTTGTCTGGCTTAGGTAACTGAGTAATGCTGGTCTTGTAAAATGAATTTGGAAGTATTACCTGTTCTATTTTTCAGACGTATTTGAGAAGAATTGGCATTCACTGTTCTTTCAGTGGTAAAATTCAATGATGAAGCCAATAGATTCTGGGCTTTTCTTTGATGGGAGACTTTTTATTACAGATTCAATCTCTTCACTCATTTTTGGTCTGCTCAGATTTTCTATTTCTACATGATTCAGTCTTGTTAAGTTGCATGTGTCTAGGAATATATATCTTCTATGTTATCCAATTGTTTTTATATAATTGGTCATATAATCTCTTATGATCCTTTTTATATCTGTGGCATATATTGTAATGTTTTCTATTTAATTTCTGATGTTACTTATTTGTCTTACTTTGAATTCTTTGTCAGGCAGGTCACATATCTCCATTTATTTGGGGTCAGTTATTGAAAGATTACTGTATTCTTTCGATGATGTTGTGACTTCTTGGTTTTTCATGTTTCTTGTTGCTTTTCATTGATATCTGCACCTTTGAATAAGTAGGGACTTATTCCAGTTTGCAGTCTGGCATTTTCTAGGAAAGTCCTTCACCAATTAGCTTGTCCAGAGATGCTGGGCTGGTTGTCTGGCATGGTCCAAGGGTGGACTTGCTGCTGGGATTCTTGGGCAGGCTAGCTGGTGCCTGGGTCAGCAGGTGATCAAGCCTAGTGCCTAAGTCCACAGAGTTGGACCTGAAGTCTGAATCCACTGGGATAGGCCTGTTGGTGGGGTCTGTGGGGATGGGCCTGGAGCTTGTATCCATGGAGACCAACCTGGAGATTTGGTCTACAAGGGCTTACCTGGCACTGGGATGGGTCTAGAACCTAAGTCTCCATGAGTTGGCCAGGTGCTTGAATGAGTCTGGCACCTGGGTCCACTGGGAAGGATGTAGAGCCTGAGTTCATGGAGTTGACCTTGCACTGGGGTGGGTCTGGAACTTGGGGCCACTAAGATGGGCCTGGAACCTAAATTCATGGGGTCTGGCCTGCAGCTTGGTGGTCTTGGAGACTCGGTCCACAGAGTTCAATCTGGAACCAAGGTCTACTGGAGTGGGCCTGCACCCTGGGTCTTCTGAAACAGGCTTGTACCCTGGGTTCTGTAAAGCATGGGACCACTGGGAGTGGCCTGGAGCTTGAGACTGGCTTTGTACTGAGGCCAGCTTGAAGCTTGGGTTTGTTGGGGCTGTTCTGGAGACTATAATTATGGAGGATGACCTGGGATCTGAAGCCACTGGGGCTGGCCTGGAGCCTGTATCCACTAGTGCCAGCCTGGAGGCTGAGTGTACAGGTGCTGGCCAAGAGGCTAGGTCCATGAAGGTTGGCCTGGGGCCTCAGGGGCTGGCCTAGAACCCGGGTACACAGGGAGGTCTTGGAGTTTGGATATATGGGGGCTGACTCAGAACTAGAATCTACTGGGACAGGCCTGGCCCCTGGGTCTGCAGGAGCCAGCCTGAAGGATGGGGCTGTGGGGACTAGCCTGGCAATAGGCAGGCCTGCAGTCTCTATCCATGGTGCCCACCTGGTATCTGAGGTCTGAGTGCCAGACTGGCATGAGGACAGGCCTAAAGCCTGGTGCCACAGGAGCTGCCTTGGAACTGGGTGGGCCTGGATTCTATGTCTACAGGTACCAGCCTAGAGGCTGGGTCTGTGGTCGTCAGCCTGATGACTAGGACTACTGGGGCTAGCCTGGTGCTGGGGCACGCCTGAAGCTTGAGCCAGGGGGGCCAGCCCAGTAATATGGGCAGTCTGGAGCCCAGGGTTGCTAAGGTCAGCCTGGCCATGGGACAGGCCTGGAGCCTGATTCTGTGGTGGCTGGCCTGGTGCAGGGTTAGGCCTGAAAACCAGTGGAGACTGCCTGGCAGTGAGAACAATCCAGAGAAAGGGGCGGCTGTGGTCAGCTTGGCAGTGTGATGGCCCAGAGGCCAAGTCCGTCACACAGGCCTGGAGTCTGCAGCTGCAGAATCCCTCCTGGCACTGGGGCAGGCTTGAAGGCTCAGCCCATGAGTACTGACATGAAGTCTGGGGCTGTGGGAACCTGCCTGCACTAGTATTACTTGAGTAGATCCTGTGTTGGGGTTTGAAGCACAATCTGGCGCTCCTACCCTCACAGAGAGGATATCTCTTTCCAAGCTGTGCTGCCTGTGGTTGGAGGTAAAGGAATACAGTTGATGTAAAACTGTCCTTCCTACCTTCTTCAATGCATCTTTTCTTATTTCTGTGCTACACCCAGGTGCTGTAATCTCTCATCTAGTTTCCTTAGCTTTTGTGAAGATATTTTTGCATGAGGATAGTTGTTCAAATTGATGTTTCAGTGGGGGGAAGAGCACTGGAGAGTCCTATTTTATCATTTTACTGACGTCAGTCCTTGTATAAATTTTTAAAAGAAAAAAATACATTGTAAGTAAATACTGTGACTGGGAAAGAGCTTTCTATGGGTGGCATGAATTGCCCCAGCAAAACCCAAGACAGACACGGGCTGTCTCTTATACTGGCTCCCAGCTAATGAGAATAACAGGTCCAGGCCACCTGAAAACAGAAAGATTCTTCCACATACCCTAAGCCATTCCCAATTTAAAGTTACAATATTATAACCCAAAGACGTCACTTGGAACTTAAGTGATTCTCTTTTAAGCTCTCCCCATGGATTTAAAATAAAAGCACAACAATATGTTTTGGAGATATTTATTTCTTTTCATTCCATTTCCCCCAAGAGCTGTATATTGTCTTCAGCATTTTCTTGTCCCTGCAGTGTAGCTGCTCTTGGGGAAGTACCTCTCTTCCCTGAGATGAACTAAATTTTAAGAGTTGCTTTCCATTTTAATCATTAACATGCCATGCAATACAGCTACTGCTAATTCAGAATTGATAACGAGCACTAGGAAAGTTTCTGGATTAAAGAAGCCCAAAGAAACAACTAGAAAGGGGCAATGGAAGAAATATCTTATATAAATTCCCCTTTAAATCTGTGTTGTGGACTATATTTTGGAGTGAGGAAAGAAATGAGCTTTCAAGTGCATAATTGCCCTTTTAGACAATAAAAGGCTTTCCTGACATTAGTTCCATATGCTGAAGATGGCATCTTATTTTTCTTTTCTATAACTAGAAATCACTAGTTAACACAGGCATTGAATTCCACATCTATTTCTAGAAACCACCTTTCTATGGCTATTTTTTAAGCACAAAAATAACAGTTTGCAGCTTGCACAGCCTTAACCAGTAGGCTCCAGCCTCTATTGTTCTTGCTGTCTTCACTATATACAGAAGTTCACTTTGCCCATTTAGAAAAACAACACTTAAATCTTTTGGTGCAAGAAAGCATATACCTGCAATATTAATGCCTTTGCCATTTCTCCAGATTCAAAATGGCTTTCCTATCACAGAGAAACTTCATTAACCCATACACTGATAAATCAGAATTTTTAGTAACTCAGATATTTTATATGCTTCTCTGTTACAGATGCAGGTATGTTACCTGCATCAAATGAATTAACAACCAATGGCATAAAGAACAGTAGCTGAATCTTATTTATAATTTTAAAGTTCTTTGCCACTGAGTTAACTCCATTTTCCAGATTGTAAAGGAAATATAAGTCTTCCATATGAACAATTAATGTGTTAAATAGATATAACTCAAGTTTTCTATACTGTACCATCTGGATGAGAGAAAGGAGGAATAGGGGTAGAGTGGGGAGTCTCATCGAAATCAAGAAACAATTATCTTTCCTCTGAGCCCATAGGTGACATCCTTATAATCCTACCAGCCCCTAAATTCCTGCTTTTCTTATTTGTAGAATTTCAGAGGCAGATAATCTCACAGCTTGAAATGGGACTTGAATATTAGAGTATTCGTATCTTGCTTCTTCCTTGGGCAATTTGCTTAGCTTTTCTGAGCCTTAGCTACCTTATCTTTCCAACAGAGATAATAATAATTGCTTTGAGGATTGAAAGGAATTGTACATGTAGCCTAAACATAGCACCTAGTATAAGATATTTGAGTTTCCCCGCTCTGTTGTCCCTTCCCTCGCTTAAATTCTCCTTTACCTGTGTTCCCATCACTGGTTGCATTATCACTCTCTCTGGTTGTAGCTGCTGTTCCAAAGGCTTCACTAGGCTCCACATGGAACAAAATACTGGCAGCAGGGTCTCAAGCTGCTGCTACTATTTTGTTACTAAATCGATCCTGAATATAAATCCACTGCAAGATTTAGATCTAGGGGAAAGTGCAATATAGATTTCCTGGAAGTCTCAGAAAATTCCTTGTATTTCAGTGATGCCAATTGGGTCAGTGTCTATATTTCTAACCAGCTGCTGTGGCCAAGGGATTAAAATTATTGATTGTCTTGGGCCTAAATTACATGTTCCATCCTTGGAGAAAATAGCAATGCTCTATCCATCCACATGGACCAAATACAGGAAGGAATGAATCTCCTAATGACTTTTGCCAGACGTAGGGTGTATGGATGCAGAGAAGATACATCCTGTTATATTTTATGTCTCCCCAAATTACTTTTCTTGGCTATATGATGCTTTTGCTGGAAGTATTCTAAAAAAAAATTCATAATACAAATATTTACATATATAATCCAAAGTGTCTGCTGCCTGAACATTCCCAAGTCTTTTAGCATTTGGGGAACTCATTGCTTTAATAATTAAATTAAGATAATTAAATCCCCAGCCCATGTCCTAAGGAAAGTCCCAAACTCTCCAAAAACGTTCCACATATTCTTGTGTGCAGATAGAATCTCCTTATCACCTCTCATTCTGAACGTCTCTTCTTGGTAAATTCTGTACCTTATTTTCTCACTTTCTGCAGCTGCTATCTTCTTTCCATACCATGTGGGCCCTTCTCTCTTGCTCCTCCAAATAGAATGTAATTTGTAAATATTATTAAAGTTGTAAGTAGAATAGGAAATGATTACTGAAAGGTGAAGATCAGGGGATAATTTTAAACTGAATTTGAGAATTACTATTCTTAGAAATTTTTTGGCCACATGCCAAAGTTAATTCCTTACTACCTTGTTTTCTCAGATCTTGATATCTTGTAAGTCTGCTACCTCTCCAATAGCTCCCTACACTCCACATTTTAGGAGTCATAAAACCCTGCCTCCCCAATTCATCAAGGAAAAATTTTTAAATTCCCTTCCATTGCATGCAGAGCAGTTTAGTCCCACACTCCTATTCAATGGAGTATGTCTCTTATTCATTTGATAATATAAATTTGATATAGTGTAATGGCAAATTTTCTAATATTTAATTTTCTTGTGTTGAATTTAATTCCTTATGTTTAATAGTCAAACTAAAGCAAGCAATGAAGACATACCAAGACATATTTTATTGGCTTTTTGCAATTTCAAATTTTAAAATTAAAAGAACAATTCAGAACACCTGGTCCATTCTATAGAGTCCCATGATCCTGCAGCCCCAGAAGTTGTCAGTGGGTTTCACCTATTTTTATCATATGTAAATTATGTTTGACAGCAAGGACTAATTCTTCATCTCAAGGTTTCCTAGCTCAGTGTTACCATAAATTCTGTGGCAATTCTGTCTTCATCAACTTCATAACCATTGTTGTACTCATTTTCCAAACCATAAAATGTTATAATTGTGTCCATGAAAGTTAAAGTATTCTCTAAGAAGGCATTTAGGCCAGTATTCTGCTTCCATGCCTGTATTCTGTTAAATGTAATACAATATCACCATTTACATGTGTAGTAACTAAGACTCAGACATGCTGTTTTCTTGTGGTAAGTTGCAGAAAGAAAATAACTTTATCTCCTGATTTCTGGCACCAAACTCCAACTCAGTAGACTTGGTAGATCCCGACAAGTATGTGAATAGATGCAAACTCCATCTTCGTGTGACTGCTTCCCTTCCAGGTTTTGGCAGTTCTGCTACTATTCACAGATTCCACCCAGTCCTTTTCCTCTGCTGTACTGTATGAAAGTCACAGTCTCTTTTTCTCTTGTTCTCTGCACATTTAGGTTCTACAGAG
Source organism: Homo sapiens (assembly GCF_000001405.40). Classification (NCBI taxonomy): domain Eukaryota; kingdom Metazoa; phylum Chordata; class Mammalia; order Primates; family Hominidae; genus Homo; species Homo sapiens. The sequence continues at coordinate 199,016,278 of NC_000002.12, forward strand.
GTTGGCATTATGGCCTCTAAAATAAATTTCAAGCCACTTTCCAGATGTCTTTCCTGAAAGCTACAAGCCAACAAGAAAAGACAGCCAATGCCCGATCCAGACTAAGATTGACTGAATATTTACCAACAAATCCACAGGTTACTGATCAATACATTGCTTCATATTTAAAGTTCTTTTAAAACTCTAGCATATGCATAACTTTTGGGGCTCTTTACATTGATATCAAGTTTGCATTTCATAATTTCTGTGTAATGGTTTTTGTGGTTAACTGATTGTTACCTTTCTTATCCTGTTAAGTAAAAACAAACAAACAAACAACAACCACAAAAAAAAAAACTAGAGGTTCTCCACTACTCTAGGTGTTAGGCATAGTACATGTCATATTAGGAAAGCATGACTATATAATCAGATGTCCTTCCTATGGAGAATGCGCAGGGCCTAAGTCACCTGATTGTACAGTAGTGCTGCCTAGTTCAAATCCCAGCTCAACCATCTGTGCCACTCAAGGGCCTCAATGTTCTCATCTTTTAAATTGGGGATAATAGTACCTACCTCAAAGGGCTATTGTAAGAATTGAATGAATTTCTATATGAAAAGGATATAAAGGAGTGCCTTGGATATGGTAAGTCATCTCTAAATGCTTACCACCATTGATTTTCATCAACTGGGTTGACATAACCACATCGACTCAAAACTATTTTTTAAAGTCTGAGAGCATTTGCATTGTAAAGCACAGAACTCTGCCTACGTTGCTGGAAAATTATATATATATACACATATATATATGTATATATATGTGTATATATATGTGTGTATATACACATATATATGTATATATGTATAATGTGTGTATATACACACATATATACGTATATATGTGTGTATATACATATATATGTATATATGTGTGTATATACATATATATGTATATATGTGTGTATATACATATATATGTATATATGTGTGTATATACATATATATGTATATATGTGTGTATATACATATATATGTATATATGTGTGTATATACATATATATGTATATATGTGTGTATATACATATATATGTATATATGTGTGTATATACATATATACACACATATGTGTGTGACTGTGTGTATCTGTGTGTATCTCCCCTCTTTTTTAAATCTTCATTTATTATTTTCACAAATATATATTAAACATCCAAATGTTATGCACTAGAAGAGGTGCCAAGGTTAAGGTACTAAACAAGAAAGACAAACTCCCATGAGGCCTTAATTCTTGAGAAGAGAGAAAATAAATGTAAAGAAACAAAATGATCAAGATGATATCAGATAGTAGTAGGGCTGCATATAATACCAAATGAGTGATTTAGTAAGTGGGTAAAAAGGGTAGGGTCATGGTGGAGGGAGTGATACTCTAGAAGTAAGATGGAAGCTGAGATCTAAAGACAACTGTTGGGCAAAGACTGAGCTGAGCACATTCCAGAAGAGGGAAGAGCTGCTGTGCAAGGAGCAGAAGGAAAGCCAGCATCTCTAGAGTGGATTGAACCAAAAGCATGGGAGATAAGGTCAGAAACTTAGTCAGGAGCCAAATAATGTACAGCTTATAGGCCCTGGTCAAATTCAGATTTTATCCTAAATGAAATAGGAAGCCATTGGAAGGTCAGAGTGAGGAAGGGTGTGATCTGATTTGTAATTCTAATCACCCTGGAAGCTAGGCAGCAAATGAGTTATTGGGTGAAAGAGTAGAAGGGGGCAGAGCAGCTAAGAGGCACTGCAGTCAGGTGAGAGATGACAGTGACAGTGTGGATGCACAGATTCTGGATGGACTTTAAAAGCAGAGCTGACAGAAGTTAGATTGGATGATGATGAAACCAGGATAATGGAGAGATGGGAGCAAGAATGACCCTTGGTTTTGGCTTGAGAAACCACATGGCTGCTTATTTATGGAATTCAGAAGACTTGGGGAGGTGTAAGTTTGGAAGAGAAAATCAAGTGTTCTTTTATGATACATTTTATTTTGGCTACTCATACTGAATAAGAGATGCATGTATTTTTCTAACTTGGAAATGCATTTTAAAAACTCATATTTTCACCTTCTGAAATTTTAGCATGGGTGAAGCTAATCTTAACTGACCAAAGGGAAAAATTTTCCCTCCCTTTATTATCTGAGCTATGTGTTCCATCTGTACACACATAAAAACCATAACTTAAAGAATGTTATTCATGTTCCCCTATATCTTACTATGGAAAGTTTTAGAAAGCATGAAGTCAAGAGACACAAAAACCATACCTACCTGACTTACATTCTATCAAACCCACCATATGACTTAAAGGGACATGGAATAAATGAACTTAATTGTGCTGAGAATGTAACAGCCAAACATATAACACACGGGGGCTAACAAAGTCTAGAACAGCTTGTGCGTAATGTTTTATACCATTTCTTAAACATTAAATAGTTCTCATTCTTAATGAGTAATTCTTCTTCTATTTCAGGTCTTTGACAAAGAATATAATCAGTTTTGCTATAACTCTTGTTTTGGAAATGTGAATTTATTCCCACACAATTTATATAGTAGAGAATAATTTGAGGACAATGCAAATTTTGTATTTGTGTATGCACCATGTTGTCCATAAGCTACACTAGAGGAATGCAGGAAGCTGTACCCAATTCATACAAGCTACACAGGAATACACAAAACACACATATGCTCCTCAAACATCTGCCAGCTACCTCAGTTCACCAGCCTGTGTTATGAGTCACACCCATCCACATCTGCTATTAGAACTTTCCAGCTGATTTCAGATAAGCCACCTTCTACAATTTCACAAAAACTCATAAGTTGCAACACTTCTGACACCCACTTACACAAGCAAACTTCAGGTTTGTTTCAAGGTAATGTGACATATTTATGGTAAAATAGTATTTATGTATTTCCGGACCATGTAATGTGTGTAAAAGAGAACTCTCATATTTGTTAGATTTCAAACTTGTTTTACGTATCACTGACAAAGGTTTTGAGTGTTGTGCCCCTTGTGCATAAGCCCTACAACACATATGTCATATTATAGCAGAGTTGACTGTATTTGAAATGCAAATTCACAGTCTTTCTGCATTAAGTTTCTAAAACTAAGCAAACATGTAGGATCATCAAGGTGATTACAGAACTCTAATTATGGTTTCTTTGAATCATAAAATGTGTTTAATAACAATTCTTAGAACAAGAAGGATTTTATAAGCTTAAGAAAATTATAACTTTCTGATTGCATATGCTTTATATCAGGTATAATATTGTGTTTCTATCTTATTTGGGTGTTAAATTTTTGCACTTTATTTTTATGTCTATATATCATACACGCTTACATGAGTGAAAAGAAGTAATTAAAAATAATTCCTTTTAGTTTTAAAAGAAATTGTGAATTTTATGAAATATGTGTGTGTGGAAAGTGGAGTTATAAGTGCAATCTAAATTCATCCTGAAAGAGTTAATGTTGCCTAAATGTTGGATACTTACAGTAAAAAGAAAGGGAGTAGGAAAAGAAAGGAAAGAAACTTTACTCTTTAAGCAGGGAAGAGGATTACTGCTTTCAAGAAATTTTAATAATGCAGGAAAAAAGTCTTAATGCTCATTAAAATATTATAAAATTCTTATAATCCAGACATACAATGGATATGTTTGTGGAAAAAAAAGAGAAGAAAATATTAACATCAAAAGTCTTGCAGACGGTTTCATTCTGAAGCCCTTGAGGTTTAAGAAGGCATCCCTCCAAACTGTACCTAACTAGCTCAGTGTGTGGGCGTGTACCAGAGACGCCTGTCCACTAGGGGCTAGACTTTCACCAATAAACTGCTTTTAACTACAGCACTTAAATCAAGTCCTATTTAACTGGCATACAAATACAAGGATATTTTTATTAAATTTCTGAAATATAATTCCTATCATAAAGAGATAATTTTAAAATAAGTACTTCTGATCAGTTTAATAGTTTAAATGTAAGTGACTCAAAGATGTATAGTCTCAAATAAAATGCTACTGCAGGAACTTTATATTGTGAATTAAAATCGTTTGATCATAGAAATATTTGGGCTTTTTTTTCCTCTCTTTCACTTTCTAGCTTTGTGAAGACTAAAGACTTTATCATGCACTAATCATGCTTAATTAACATCAAGCAATCAGGTCATGGTGTGCCTATTGTCATACAAATATATTAGAAGCAGCACAAGACTATAAGTATTTTTTTTTAATTTTTGGAATTCACTCATTTATCAAAGATGTACTGAATTACTTCTGGATACTGTTATTTGGAAATGAGTTATACTGTTTTTTATTGTCTAGTTATTCCTAACAAGGAGGTGTAACTTTTATGATAACAAAAAGGAGTACTTTTTAAATTTAAGATTTATTTATTAAACTCCTATGCATCCTGCTGTAACCATACAAAGATGAACAAAACAAGAACCCTATCTCGTTTGTCAATCTCATTAGGAAGACAGACAGGCATATAAGCAAAACCCTCCCTGAACAACCACCTTCTCCCCCGCTAAGGTGTATAAAGGGCAGTGGTACACTGCAATGCAAGGTGTGCAACAATTACAAGCAATGGCTTTGGAATCAGAGAGAGTACAGTCTAAATATTGGCTCTACCATGTGATTCTCAGCATGTTTTTAGCCACTCTAAGTCTCCCTTTCCTCACAGTGAATCAGGAATTGTAATTCCTACCTCACAGGATTAAGTGGAATAATGTATGTAAATTTCAGTACAATGCCTGGCATGTGCTAAGTCTTCAAAAATGGTATATGTTTTCACAGTGGAGCACTAAGGAAATGTGGAGCAGGGCATTGAGAACTGACATCTACCAATCAACACGTGATGAACAGAGGCAGGAAGATTGTCACTGCACCAAGGGCCATCTACTTTAGTGTTGCACAACATTAGAGTTTTAGGGTGAGGTTTTGTGTGTGTGTGCGTGTGTGTGTGTGTGTGTGTGTGCTCAAGAAGCATAACCACTTAATGGCACAGAGTCTATTTTGAAGCTCGAAAACCAGTAAGACCATAGAACTCTCTCAGGAGGAATGAGGAGTTGGCTGAGTTCTGCCCAAGGAAGTTCTCACAAGAGGGCATTGTAAAATGTCCTTATTCCTCAGAACTTAACTTTAAAATGTTCCCACTGAAGTCCAATGGGAGTTTTATGGGAGTAAAGGATAGAATTAGGTCTTGTGTATTTTTAAAGGGTCATTCAAAAAGGCAAAGTCTAAATTTTTTACAGATGGCAGAGTAGGAGTAATGCAGTTGGCCAAAACTGACCTTTTATGTTTTCCAAAAGCAAATGTTTACTGAAAGAGGACTCTGCTATACTACCAATGGAGAAAGAAATCTTGATGCTTACATTGGATAGCTCGGTACACATTCACTGCCAAATACATTTATAAAAATCAATAATAATATTTTCCATGGTACCTGTTTTCAACCTTCCTCCAAAATTTTGCCCTGTAGTTGCTTTTTCTCAAACACAAATATTTCTGAGGAAAAATAATATTTTAGGTGAGAATAGGCTTGCGAAATCGTATGCATTTTAGGAGCCTCACTGTGCCTTCACAGTTCTAGCTCCACCACAGTGATGCACAGGCAGGGGAGAGGATGACCAATGTCACCAGGTCTTCTGGGTAGTGAATTTAAAACTGGTGTTAAGTTCTTCCAGAATGAAACTCCTTTTAAACTTTGTTCAAAGAGGGAAAGGGATGTTAGAAATTCCTGTGCTCTTTTGGACATTAAATAATTCTTAAAAAACAAAATTTCGATGTGTTCAGTAAGTTTTAAAAAGTAAGAAATATTGAAATCCATCAAACATGAATGGGAAAACTTAAAGTGGCTTGTGACGATACATATTGGGTTTTGTAAACTTTAAAAGCTCAGGGAGAAAAAATGGAAATGTGAGCTCAAATTATCAGTAAAATTTAATCAACCCACAACAGCCATAATTTAGAACTTTCTTATTTTCACACTTACTAAGTGGGTTGCAAGTACCATTTTAACATGTAGGTTTAAAAAAAAATTGTTCCATAGCCGGTCCCCAGAAAATCAGAACCATCCCACTTTTCTCATTCAGGAGAAAGCATGCACAGTAGATATTGAGACAATACTTTATAAAGTACCTGGCATATACGGAACGATTTTGGCAGCTAGACCCCAGATGGCCATGTTCTGTTAAGGATTGTAGAAGTCTATTCCTTTTAAAAAAACACACACACACAATAAAAATAAATAGATAGCTTAAGTGTAAAATAGTATATTCACTTTGGAAAAAGTTGTGACAGTTCTTATAAAGTTAAATATATACTCACTTTTTGGAAATTGTAATTCTACTCCTTGATATTTACCAAAAAATAAAAACATATCAAAAAATAAAACCTACACACATGCACAAGAATGTCCATAGCAGCTTTATTCATAAGTAGCATAAACTGGACACTCAAATTTCATTAAGAAGAGAATGGATAAACAAATTTTAGTATATTCTCACAAAGGAATACTACTCAGGACTAAAAAATATTAATACACACAACATGAACAAGTCTAATAGATGTTACCTTGAGCTAAAGAAGCTGAACACAGAGGAGCATGATTTCATTCATATGAAGGTCAGTATTAGACAAAACTAATCAACAGTTTTAAAAATCAGAAAAGTGGTTGCCTCACTGTGATGGGGAGGAATAACTGGGAAAGACTATGAGAGTACTTACTGGGATGTGATGGCAGTGGCAGTGTCTAATTTTTTCAGGGGTGTAAGTTACATGGGGCTGGCTACGTGCATTTATCAAAACTCATTAAATTGTAAACTTAAGATTATGCATTTTGTTGTAGATTAGTTTTATCTCAAGATAGAATAAATGAATAGATTCTTAAAGATTTAAGTATATATCATGCGAATAAATAAAAGGAAATATGACTTCTTTTATGTGCCTTCCTTTATTGCTGTTTTTGAACTTAAATGGTTCTAACAACTCAATGAACATATTTATTTCTGCAACTGTGCGTCATTTTTCTAACTGGTCTATTTTCCAGAAGGCAAGAGCTTGTCGTCTTTTTTTTTTTATTTAAATTGTTTGTAATACAGCACATAAATTGCCATTAAACATGGCAATGCAATGAGAACCTCTAGAAGGAACAGGTGGAATCACTTCCCTTTTTTTTTCTTATGACTTTGAGAATAAATCTCCCCCAAATGACACCTTTCTCCTTCAAATACTTTAGTTGTATATTTTATAACTTTTACATATGTCATTTTTACATGACAGTCACAGCTCCCACCTGGAGTTTTGCAACACTGTCCGCATGTTACCTTTTTTTTTTTAGAATATGCATGTTTTATTCTGAATAATTTTGCATAATAAAAATGAAAGTACAAAATAATTAAGACACAAAATATTTTAACAAGCTGAAATAAATCATGAAAGAAAAAAGCAGAAATGTAATCCATGGCAAAGTCTTTCTTATAAAAAGTTCAAAAACAACCTTTCAGTTTCACTAATGGAGATACTTGAAGCTCAAAATCTAAATCCCAATACCAGGAGTCTAAAATATTTACTATAAAGGCAATGAATATTAATGTTAAGAATAGCCAGATTCAACGAGTGAAGTTAAAAAAATATATCATGCAAATGGTTTAATATACCACAGGAATTGTGACTAAACATGCTAGAAAAAACTTCAAGGAACCCAAGATTTATATCAGTCATTTCAAAAAAGATTGATTTTTCACTACCCCTCTTATTCATTCATTCATTCATTCATTTCTTCATTCTATAACAAGTATTTATTGGGCATGTATTATGTATGTAATATTCTAAGAGCTTAAAATGCATAAGAAATTAACAGATAAACACCTCAACTTTTCATTGAGAGAATGTTGATAGTTATATGTACTGAGATGCAAAAGTAAGGTAAGGAAAAGAATATGGTATTAGGGGAGGGAGTTCAAATTTTTAATAGGGTAGCCAAGAAAAGCTCACTGGAAAGGCAAGTTTTGAGAAAGAACTGAAGGAAATGAGGGAGTTCAATAATGCCAATATATGTTGAGGTAAAAAGTGATGCTGTTTCTTCCACTAAAGGGATGTATGTGATTAATGGTAGCATTAAGGTATATCAGAATGGTTTCCTGAAGCAATCAAGCCTCTTTCCCAAACAGCCACTCTCATTACTGGTTCTTTACTTTTTTTCTCTTCCTTTCTTCCTTCTTTCTTTTATTCCTTTCTTCCTCTTTTCTCCCTCCCTTCCTTTCTTTTCTCTTCTCTTATTATTTTTTGGGCCTAGTGCATGACAATTAATAAATAGAATAAAAAGAGGAGATGGAAAATGACTTTGATTTGCCCATAGCACATAAGGTTAACAACCTGTAAGTCTTATTTGTAGTAATTTAACAGTAAAGACCACATAGAAAATGCATTTTATAGCAATAACACTGATGATATAAGAGTAATACGAGCTAAGTAAAAAGTCATTTCTCTCAAAAGAGAACACTCAAGCAAAACTCTTTAGATATTTAATTATTTACACGTTCTTCTTTTATATAGATGGCTAACAATGGTTGAAATAGTTTATATGACAAAAAACTTGTGGAATATAAAGATTTCTGGCAGAAACATCCACAGATAGCTATAATAATAATCAATGTATTTGTTCTTTACATTCGCTAGCATCCTCTCAGATAGGCCAAAATGTTAACTATCACATTTCACTGTAAGAACTCAAAGGCATACAAACATCCATCCTGGGATTTGATTAAGCACCATAACAAATGTTTTGCTTTTCTGACAAAGAAAAGAGTACTATTCAGCCGACTGCTATAAAGCCAGAATGAACGGGAATGTGTGTGTGAGAAAGACAGACAGAATTAACGTGAAAATCTGATGTCAATATAATGCTGAAGAGTTAGTGCAACTAATACTTGATTTAAGCTAAATGTGGATCTTTCCACCTACAGATAACACAGCTGCTTTCCCTCATGTAAGATCCATCTCCAAGAGACTAAGCTCAGGATTCCAGGATTACTAAATCCCACAAATCCTCTTGAGATTTCTGGGAACAACAGTTAACCTTTGTGCACACACTAACGTCAATAATCACAGTCTGGGTGGGCATGTGGACGATATTATCCCAACTCAGGGACATGGATCATCTCTAGACAGACATAGGGAGAGGATAGGGAAATAAGCCATCAACTCTCAAATCTACTGAGAAAAAAACACCTCTCAATGTACATGAAAAAGCCATTGCTCCCAAGATAGATGTCTTTTTTTTAAAAAAGTTGAAACTCTACTAAAATACTAGAATGTTTCTGGTGCAGCCCCACTGAAAGACAAAAACAGAATGAATGAGCTCAGGCCCCTCAAACTTTCAATTGTAAAGAAGGAAGTGTTCAGATCCTAAGTCACAGAGGTACCTGATCTGGATGAGAAACTCAAAAACCCAGCTCCTCAGAGTTTTTAGAGTGGCCTTATTTCAGGAAAAGGATCTTTTGGTAATGGTGCACGGGCGAATGACCTGTGCAACAAAATTGTGTAAGTCCATCAGTGGATGACTGGATAAAGAATATGTGGAACACGTACACAATTGGATACTCTGCAGCCATAAAAGAAAGAATGAAAGTATGTCTTTTGCAGCAACATGAGTGGAGCTGGAGGCCATTATCCTAAATGAAATAACTCAGAAACAGAAAATCAAATATCACATCTATTTATTACTAGGAGCTAAGTGATAGGTACACATGGACATACAAAGGGAAATAACAGGCACTAGGGATGCCAAAAGCAGTGAGGGAAGAGAGGGGAGTAAGGGCTGAAAAATTACCTACTGGGCGTAATATTCACTATCTGGGTGACAGGCACACTAGAAGCCTAAATCTCACCATTATGCAATTTAGCTATGTGACAAATTCGTACAAGTACCCCCTAAATCTATATATGTATTTAAAAACTGTATGAATACACACACACACCAAAAAATTTATTAAATATCTCCTTTATGTTAAAGCTCTGCCCTAAGTACAGTAAGTATGGATAAGTTACAACTCCTACCCATGAGGAAGTTCCAGGCTAACGGGGTAAAAGGAATATAAATATGTACTATCAGACAAAGAGACAAAGTGATAAGATATTTATTAGCAAAATAGCAGATGACTTGGGAAATCACTGGAAGAAATATGCTGAATGTTTTAGTTAAGTTTCTCTTCCATGGAATTTGAAGAATTATAGATTCCTTAAGGCCACTTACCAAAACAAAAGAGAAAATAAAGAAAAAAGAATCTTCATAAGCCCTCCTTCTTCTGTGTTCAGGGAAATCTCTCTTCAACTTGATATAAATGAGTAGATTTACAAAAAGTCTAACTTCCAACCTAAAGACAAAAGAATGTGCTGATTAGGAAGCAAAAGAAAATAATAAAATTATATTAAAAAGAGATCCTAATACTATCAAATTTTAAGACAGACGTGATGATTTGACATATATTCTTTGGAAATACATGACAGTCACAAAGAATTTTTGTGAAAAAATTTTATTTAATACTCAAGGTATTTTTAATATCCTTAATTATAATTACACTTAATATCCTTAATACCAGGTTATTGAGATAAGGAATGTGTCACTATTTACTGCTATTAAGACAGGAGCATGATTTATAGTCCTTTGGGTATATACCCAGTAATGGGATGGCTGGGTCAAATGGTATTTCTAGTTCTAGATCCCTGAGGAATCGCCACACTGACTTCCACAATGGTTGAACTAGTTTACAGTCCCACCAACAGTGTAAAAGTGTTCCTATTTCTCCATATCCTCTCTAGCACCTGTTGTTTCCTGACTTTTTAATGATTACCATTCTAACTGGTGTGAGATGGTATCTCATTGTGGTTTTGATTTGCATTTCTCTGACGGCCAGTGATGGTGAGCATTTTTTCATGTGTTTTTTGGCTGCATAAATGTCTTCTTTTGAGGAGTGTCTGCTCATGTCCTTTGCCCACTTTTTGATGGGGTTGTTTGTTTTTTTCTTGTAAATTTGTTTGAGTTCATTGTAGATTCTGGATATTAGCCCTTTGTCACATGAGTAGGTTGAGAAAATTTTCTCCCATTTTGTAGGTTGCCTGTTCACTCTGATGGTACTTTCTTTTGCTATGCAGAAGCTCTTTAGTTTAATTAGATCCCATTTGTCAATTTTGGCTTTTGTTGCCACTGCTTTCGGTGTTTTAGACATGAAGTCCTTGCCCATGCCTATGTCCTGAATGGTTATGCCTAGGTTTTCTTCTAGGGTTTTTATGGTTTTAGGTCTAATGTTTAAGTCTTTAATCCATCTTGAATTAATTTTTGTATAAGGTGTAAGGAAGGGATCCAGTTTCATCTTTCTACATATGGCTAGCCAGTTTTCCCAGCACCATTTATTAAATAGGGAATCCTTTCCCCATTGCTTATTTTTCTCAGGTTTGTCAAAGATCAGATAGTTGTAGATATGTGGCGTTATTTCTGAGGGCTCTGTTCTGTTCCATTCATTTGTATTTCTGTTTTGGTACCAGTACCATGCTGTTTTGGTTACTGTAGCCTTGTAGTATAGTTTGAAGTCAGGTAGCGTGATGCCTCCAACTTTGTTCTTTTGGCTTAGGATTGACTTGGCAACGCGGGCTCTTTTTTGATTCCATATGAACTTTAAAGTAGTTCATGCTGCTATAAAGACACATGCACACGTATGTTTATTGCAGCACTATTCACAATAGCAAAGACTTGGAACCAACCCAAATGTCCCACAATGATAGACTGGATTAAGAAAATGTGGCACATATACACCATGGAATACTATGCAGCCATAAAAAATGATGAGTTCATGTCCTTTGTAGGGACATGGATGAAATTGGAAATCATCATTCTCAGTAAACCATTGCAAGAACAAAAAACCAAACACCGCATATTCTCACTCATAGGTGGTTATTGAACAATGAGAACACATGGACACAGGAAGGGGAACATCACACACCAGGGCCTGTTGTGGGGTGGAGGGAGGGGGGAGGGATAGCATTAGGAGATATACCTAATGCTAAATGACGAGTTAATGGGTGAAGCACACCAGCATGGCACATGTATACATATGTAACTAACCTGCACACTGTGCACATGTACCCTAAAACTTAAAGTATGATAATAATAAAATACAAAAGAAAAAAAAAAAAAAGACAGGAGCAGTAGATGGCCGAATAGGAAGAGGTCCAGTCTGCAGCTCCCAGCGTGATCGATGCAGAAGACGGGTGATTTCTGCATTTCCAACTGAGGTACCTGGTTCATCTCATCAGGACTGGTTGGACAGTGGGTGCAGCCCACGGAGGGCAAGCTGAAGCAGGGTGGGGCATCACTTCACTGGGGAAGTGCAAGGGGTCAGGGGATTTCCCTTTCCTAGCCAAGGGAAGCTGTGACAGACTACCTGGAAAAAGAGGACACTCCCACCCAAATATTGTGCTTTTCCAAAGGTCTTAGCAAACAGCAGACAAGGTGATTCTCTCCCGTGCCTGGCTCAGGGGTCACGGAACCTTGCTCACTGCTAGCGGCAGCAGTCTGAGATCAATCTGCGAGGTGGCAGCCTGGCTGGGGGAGGGGTGTCTGCCATTGCTGAGGCTGGAGTAGGTAAACAAAGCAGCCTGAAGCTCGAACTGGGCAGAGCCCACCGCAACTCAACAAGGCCTACTGCCTCTAGACTCCACCTCTGTGGGCAGGGCACAGCTGAACAAAAGGCAGCAGATAACTTCTGCAGACTTAAACATCCCTGTCTGACAGCTCTGAAGAGAGCAGCGGTTCTCCCAGCACAGTGTTTGAGCTCTGAGAATGGACAGGCTGCCTCCTCAAGTGGGTCCCTGACTCCTGTGTAGCCTAACTGGGAGACATATCCCAGTAGAGGTCGACAAACACCTCATATAGGTGACTGCCCCCCTGGGACGAAGCTTCCAGAGGAAGGATCAGGCAGCAATATTTGCTGTTCTGCAATATTTGCTATTCTGCAGCCTCCGCTGGTAATACCCAGGCAAACAGGGTCTCGAGTGGAACTCCAGCAAACTCCAACAGACCTGCAGTTGAGGGACCTGACTGTTAGAAGGAAAACTAACCAACAGAAAAGAATAGCATCAACATCAACACAAAGGTCATCTACACCAAAACCCCATCTGTAGGTCACCAACATCAAAGAACGAAGGTAGATAAAACCACAAAGATGGGGAGAAACCAGAGCAGAAAAGCTAAAATTTCTAAAAATCAGAGCGCCTCTTCCCCTCCAAAGGACTGCAGCTCCTCACCAGCAGTGGAACAAAGCTGGATGGAGAATGACTTTGACAAGCTGACAGAAGTAGGCTTCAGAAGGCTGGTAATAACAAACTTCACCAAGCTAAAGCAGGATATTCGAACCCATTGCAAGGAAGCTAAAAACCTTGAAAAAAGATTAGAAGAATGGCTAACTAGAATAAACACTGTAGAGAAGACCTTAAATGACTGATGGAGCTGAAAAACATGGCACAAGAACTTCGCGACACATGCACAAGTTCCAATAGCAGATTCAATCAAGTGGAAGAAAGGGTATCAGTGATTGAAGATCAAATTAATGAAATAAAGTGAGAAGACAAGATTACAGAAAAAAGAGTAAAAAGAAATGAACAAAGCCTCCAAGAAATATGGGACTATGTGAAAAGACCAAATCTATGTTTGATTGGTGTACCTGAAAGTGACAGGGAGAACGGAACCAAGTTGGAAAACACTCTTCAGGATATTACCCAGGAGAACTTCCCCAATCTAGCGAGGCAGGTCAACATTCAAATTCAGGAAATACAGAGAACACCACAAAGATACTCCTTGAGAAGGGCAACCCCAAGACACAGATTGGGTTGTCAGATTCACCAAGGTTGAAATGAAGGAAAAAGTGTTAAAGGTAGCCAGAGAGAAAGGTCAAGTTACCCACAAAGGAAAGCCCATCAGACTAACAGCGGATCTCTCAGCAAGAGAGTGGGGCCAATATTCAACATTCTTAAAGAAAATAATTTTCAACCCAGAATTTCATATCCAGCCAAACTAAGCTTCATAAGTGAAGGAGAAATAAAATCCTTTACAGACAAGCAAATCCTGAGAGATTTTGTCACCACTAGGCCTGCCTTACAAGAGCTCCTAAAGGAAGCACTAAACATGGAAAGAAACAACCAGTACCAGCCACTGAAAAACATGCCAAATTGTAAAGACCATCAATGCTATGAAGAAACTGCATCAATTAACAGGTAAAATAATGAGTGAACATCATAATGACAGGATCAAATTCACACATAACAATATTAACCTTAAATGTAAATGGGCTAAATGCCCCAATTAAAAGACACAGACTGGCAAATTGGATAAAGAGTCAAGACCCATCAGTGTGCTGTATTCAGGAGACCCATCTCACATGCAAAGATGCACATAGGCTCAAAATAAAGAGATGAAGGAAGATCTACCAAGCAAACAGAAAGTTAAAAACAGCAGGGGTTGCAATCCTAGTCTCTGATAAAACAGACTTTAAACCAACAAAGATCAAAAGAGACAAAGAAGGCCATTACATAATGGTAAAGGGATCAATACAACAAGAATATGATAAATATATAAGCACCCAATACAGTAGCACCCAGATTCATAAAGTGAGTCCATAGAGACCTAAAAAGAGACTTAGACTCCCACACAATAATAAAGGGAGACTTTAACACCCCACTGTCAATATTAGAGAGATCAATGAGACAGAGCTTAACAAGGATATTCAGGACCTGAACTCAGCTCTGCAACAAGCTGACCTAATAGACATCTACAGAACTCTCCACCCCAAATCAACAGAATATACATTCTTCTCAGCATCACATCACACTTATTCTAAAATTGACCACATAATTGCAAGTAAAGCATTCCTCGGCAAATGTAAAAGACCAGATATAACAAACTGTCTCTCAGACCACAGTGCAATAAATTAGAACTCAGGATTAAGAAACTCACTCAAAACTGCACAACTGCATGGAAACTGAACAAACTGCTCCTGAATGACTACTGGGTAAATAACAAAATGAAGGCAGAAATAAATATGTTCTTTGAAACCAATGAGAACAAAGACACAACATACCAGAATCTCTGGGACACATTTAAAGCAGTGTGTAGAGGGAAATTTATAGCACTAAATGCCCACAAGAGAAAGAAGGAAGGTTCTAAAGTTGACACCCTAACATCACAATTAAAAGAACTAGAGAAGCAAGAGCAAACAAATTCAAAAGCTAGCAGAAGGCAAGAAGTTACTAAGATCAGAGCAGAACTGAGAGATACAGAAACACAAAAAAACCTTCAAAAAATCAATGAATCCAGGAGCTGGTTTTTTTAAAAAGATCAACAAAATTGATAGACCACTAGCAAGACTAATAAAGAAGAAAAGAGAGAAGAATCAAATAGACGCAATAAAAAATGATAAAGGGGATATCACCACTGATCCCACAGAAATACAGACTACCATCAGAGAATACTATAAACACCTCTATGCAAATAAACTAGAAAATCTAGAAAAAATGGATAAATTCCTGGACACATACACCCTCCCAAGACTAAACAAGGAAGAAGTTGAATCTCTGAATAGACCAATAACAGGCTCTGAAATTGAGGCAATAATTAATAGCCTAACAACAAAAAAAACTCCAGGACCAGATGGATTCACAGCCAAATTCTACCAGAGGTACAAAGAGGAGCTGGTACCATTCCTTCTGAAACTATGCCAATCAATAGAAAAAGAGGGAATCCTCCCTAACTCATTTTATGAGGCCAGTATCATCCTGATACCAAAGCCTGGCAGAGACACAACAAAAAAAGAGAATTTTAGACCAATATCCCTGATGAACATCAATGCGAAAATTCTCATTAAATTACTGGCAAACCGAATTCAGGAGCACATGAAAAGCTTATCCACCATGATCAAGTCGGCTTCATCCCTGGGATGCAAGGCTGGTTCAACATATGCAAATCAGTAAACCATCACATAAACACAACGAATGACAAAAACCACATGATTATCTCAATAGATGCAGGAAAGACCTTTGACAAAATTCAACAGCCCTTCATGCTAAAAACTCTCAATAAACTAGGTATTGATGGAACATATCTCAAAATAATAAGAGCTATTTATGACAAACCCACAGCCAATATCATACTGAATGGCAAAAACTGGAAGCATTCCCTTTGAAAACTGGCACAAGACAGGGATACCCTCTCTCACCACTCCTATTCAACATAGTGTTGGAAGTTCTGGCCAGGGCAATCAGGCAAGAGAAAGAAATAATGGGTATTCAATTAGGAAATGAGAAAGTCAAAATGTCCCTGTGTGCAGATGACATGATTGTATATTTAGAAAACCCTGTCATCTCCGCCCAAAATCTCCTTAAACTGATAAGCAACTTCAGCAAAGTCTGAGGATACAAAATCAAGGTGCAAAAACCACAAGCATTCTTATGCACCATTAACAGAGAAACAGAGAGCCAAATCATGAGTGAATTCCCATTCACAGTTGCTACAAAGAGAACAAAATACCTAGGAATCCAACTTACAAGGGACGTGAAGGACCTCTTCAAGGAGAACTACAAACCACTGCTCAGTGAAATAAAAGAGGACACAAACAAATGGAAGAATATTCCATACTCATGGATAGGAAGAATCAATAGCATGAAAATGGCCATACTGCCCAAAGTAATTTACAGATTCAATGCCATCCGCCCCCACAAATCAAGTTACTAATGACTTTCTTCACAGAATTGGAAAAAACTACATTAAAGTTCATGTGGAACCAAAAAAGAGCCTGTATTGCCAAGACAGTCCTATGCAAAAAGAACAAAGCTAGAGGCATCATGCTACCTGACTTCAAACTATACTACAAGGCTACAGTAACCAAAACAGCATGACACTGGTACCAAAACAGATATATAGACCAATGGAATAGGTCAGAGGCTCAGAGGCCTCAGAAATAACACCACACATCTACAACCATCTGATCTTTGACAAACTTGACAAAAACAAGAAATGGGGAAAGTATTCCCTATTTAACAAATGGTGCTCGGAAAACTGGCTAGCCATATGTAGAAAGTTGAAACTGGATCCCTTCCTTACACCTTATACAAAAATTAATTCAAGATGGATTAAAGACTTAAATGTTAGACCTAAAATCATAAAAACCCTAGAAGAAAACCTAGGCAATACCATTCAGGACATAGGCATGGGCAAAGTTTTCATGACTAAAACACCAAAAGCAATGGCAACAAAAGCCAAAATTGACAAATGGGATCTAATTAAACTAAAGAGCTTCTGCATAGCAAAAGAAACTACCATCAGAGTGAACAGGCAACCTACAGAATGGGGAAAATTTTTGCAATCTACCCATCTGACAAAGGTCTAAGAATCTACAAAGAACTCAAACAAATTTACAAGAAAAAAACAACCCCATCAAAAAGTAGGCATAGGATTTGAACAGACACTTCTCAAAAGAAGACATCTATGCAGCCAACAGATACATGAAAAAATGCTCATCATCACTGGTCATCAGAGAAATGCAAATCTAAACCACAGTGAGATACCATCTCACGCCAGTTAGAATGGCAATCATTAAAAAGTCAGGAAACAACAGACACTGGACAGGATGTGGAGAAAATAGGAATGCTTTTACAGTGTTGGCGGGAGTGTACATTAGTTCAACCATTGTGGAAGACAATGTGGCAATTCCTCAAGGATCTAGAGCTAGAATTACCATTTGACCCAGCAATACCATTACTGGTTATATAACCAAAGGATTATAAATTATGTTACTATAAAGACACATGCACATGTATGTTTATCGTAGCACTATTCACAATAGCAAAGACTTGGAACCAACCCAAATGTTCATCAATGATAGGCTGGATGAAGAAAATGTGGCACATATACACCTTTTTTATGCAGGCTTAAAAAAGGATGAGTTCATGTCCTTTGCAGGGACATGGATGAAGCTGGAAACCACCATTCTCAGCAAACTATCACAAGGACAGAAAACCAAACACTGCATGTTCTCACTCACAGGTAGGAATTGAACAATGAGATCACTTGGACACAGGGTGGGGAACATCACACACCGGGGCCTGTCAGGGGGTGGGGGGCTGGGGGAGGGATAGCATTAGGAGAAATACCCGATGTAAATGATGAGTTGCTGGGTGCAGCAAACCAACATGGCACATGTATACCTATGTAACAAACCTGCACATTGTGCACATGTACCCTACAACTTAAAGCATAATAAAATAAAATAAAAATCAGGAAAAAAAAGACAGGAACAATTCTCCCCAATATGAATTCCTGTTAGAATCTGAGACAAAATGAGAAGAATACAACATTAATAGGTGAAAAGTTCAGAAAGAATAGGAAGGCAATGTATGGAGCCCTATAAGCAATGCTATCTCTTGTCAGACAAAAAGTGGGAAAGACCTTGGAAAATAATCTGAAAACCTTATGTGTTGATTATTTATTCAATGTATCAATTATAAAGTACATTCTGGTGTTGTTAATGGAAGTCCAGGCTTCTGTCTCATATAAAAGAAGTACAATGGTTGATCAACCAAAGCTGGTATGTGGGTTTCTTTGTCATCATGAGCCCAGGTCCTTCGGTCTTTCTGCTCCAACATCTTTAAAACTGCCTCACGATCTGAGAAGGCTACTGCAGCTCTAGTCATTACAGCCACCCTCCAGGAAGCAGAAGAGAGGAAAATGGCTTGGGACGAAGAATTTTCACAGAAATCACATCCAGCAACTTCCACTAATACCTCATTGTTCATTAATGTTGGTAAGGAAGGCTGAGTGATACGTTTTTTTACTTGAGATAGGAAGGAAGATGGAAAAGATGAACATAGGACAGCCCATTTTATAACACTTGTGTTGGACACAAAGATTTGTTATATTCTTTTGTCTAACAGAACACAAAACTCCAGCTGTAGCTGTTTTTTCCCCTTACATAATGATAATAGCAAAAACTAACCACAGTGTTTAGCACATGCCAGGCAGTGTTCTCATTACTTAACCTGTACTAGTTTATATACTTCTCACAATAACCCTATTGAAGCTAGAAACCATCATTCTCAGCAAACTAACAGAGAAATAGAAAACCAAACACCGCATGTTCTCACTCATAAGTGGAAGTTGAATAATGAGAACACATGGACACAGGGAGGGGAATATCACACACCAGGGCCTGTCGCCAGGCTGGAGGAGACTAGGGGAGGGATAGCATTATGAGAAATATCTAATGTAGATGATGGGTTGATGGGTACAGCAAACTACCATGGCATGTGTATACCTGTGTAACAAACCTGCACATTCTGCACTTGTATCCCAGAACTTAAAGTATAATAATTTTAAAAAAGGTATATTTTATTCTGGTTTATACCAAAAAAAATTAAAACATAAAGAGTTTAAGAAATTTGCTTGCGGGCGTGGTGGCTCACGCCTGTAATCCCAGCACTTTGGGAGGCCGAGGCGGGAGGATCACCTGAGGTCAGGAGATCGAGACCATCTTGGCCACCATGGTGAAACACCGTCTCTACTAAAATACAAAAAGTTAGCTGGGTGTGGTGGCACACACCTGTAATCCCAGCTACTTGGGAGGCTGAGGCAGGAAAATTGCTTGAACCTGGGAGGCGGAGGTTGCAGTAAGCCGAGATTGCATCAGAGCACTCCAGCCTGGGCGACAGAGTGGGACTCCATCTCAAAAAAATAAAAAATAAATAAATAAAATAAAAAATAATTAGTTAAATTAAAAAAATAAATTTGCTCAAATTAATAGGATTGGCAAGTGTCAGAACCAGGATTTGAATCCAAGTAGTCCACTTGATTCTGTAGAATAAAAAGCTGTGAGTGAAAGTGTTTTTTAAATAAAAAATAAATGATAGCTCCAGAACAAAACAAAAATATGACTCAGAAAGGAATAACTGTTCTGAAAATTACAGTATTTTATTGATGCCATCCATTTTTTTTTCTCAGTGGCAATGATCTATTACTTTCTTCTTTAAACTTTTCTGAATTCTTCAAAATCCCCATAACGGATGGGGATTGCTTTTGTAATGAGAAAGAAAACATGTTTACTAAAATAAGGTTTACTAAAATAAGGAAATTATGGAGACTAAAATAGGGGAAAGATATTTAATCTCTAAGTCTAACAACAAGTATTAAAAATATCAGCTTGCGAGAACACTGCATAGTACTCTTCATAAATGCTGACACCACCCAACCATTGATGCATGCAAAGCTATGTCAGTTAATGAACTTAAATGTAATTCTCTCTAAAGGCAAATACTGTTAATCAACAAGCTCTCTCTAAATCATTATCAGCTTAAATGCTAGATGTTTAAATAATGTGCATTAAATTCATCTTGACCAGGCACAAGTTCTAATAACAATATTTATTGGAGATACCACACGTGGTTCACCAGTCCTTAAAGAATATTTCAATCGAACTGTAAAAGAATGGGGGAAAAAAGGCCAAAAGGTATGATGTGGGGAGAAGAAGAGATTTCTGTGGTGAAAAAGACTAAATTTTGCTTAATGGCTAATTTTATCACTCTCAATGTGATAAAGACAAAATGTTTGTGCTAATGGAAAAGAAAAGAAGAAAAGGTTCTGGTAACTACTAAAAGGGTGGCTGACTAAGCATTGTACAAGAATACACTTTGTTTTATAGGTCTTTAAGGCAGAGCCATTACAATATAAGCAGTGACAATTTAACATTATTGAACCTAAATTTGGGGTTTAGGTCTTTTACATGAACAACAAAACAAGTCCAATAAAACAAGACATAAAAAAAAAAAAAAAACCTTTCCAAGAATTGATTCTGTTGCAAGACCTATTCAATTATAGAACTCTTAAGAACTGAGAATGCTTTTAGAAAAAACAAACCATTCTACTTCACCCTCAAATTACAGACTTTATGGAAAGAGAATTACTGACAACTGGGGATATGAAAAAGAATATTTAAACACTAGAGAGGCACTGGACACATGAGTTACTGGGTTTTGTACATTAGACAGATGGAATTAGATGGAGAATAGAACATGAATCAGAGGGTGAGAAGTCAAGTAGGTCATAAAAAGGCCAATCTCCTCTTCCAAAGAAGAACACACAGTGAGGAGACACTGAGAGGCAAGAATGGGTGGATATCTGAAAGTTCAGAGTTCAGGTTCAGTATATCTAATACAAAAATTCAGATGCTTATTTGAATCTTCTATAAATCATCTGAGTTTACAAAACTGAGCATGTGCAGCTGCCAAAAATACCAGCTCTCTTGGGAGACTGCTGGTCCTTCTACGTCACCTCCAAGCAGAACTACTCGAATCTGAGCTTATCTAGGGACTTCTCTGGGCCCTCCTTCTGGTCAGAAACTAGAAATCAAAGATATCCATTTCAATTCAACTGCAAGAGGTGTGTGCATATTTTATTTTCTTAAAAGGTTTTGAAGGAAACTCTTAGTTTCTTGTATTTCACTCATGCTTATTAAAAAAGGAAACAATATTCTTTTCTATTTTGTCAGATATTTTTAAATGAATGTCAAAGAACCATCCTTTCTAGGAAAGCACTCAGTTGGCATCTAAAATTAATTCTATAAAATATTCTGAACCAATTATAATATGTGGTTTCTATGCTCTTCATTTTCATTCTTTAAAAGGAGACATAGTAGGAACATAAAAATGTCTTTTCCTCACTTGTTCTAAACAAAGCCTTTATTGATATATACATGAAACAAAGCATTCCTTACTTTAGAAACTTTTGTGGATACTTTTCATATTTCTGAAATAGAATGGTAGAGCAAAAATTGTTGTGTAGGAGACACCAGGAGGTATCTCTCTCAGCAGCAAAAGAACTGAGGTGAGTCCATGAATGTAGGCATCATTTGTAAAATCACCTTGTTTTTCCATTTTCAAGCATTGTTCCATTTCCTCACTGTTGTTTGAGGAAGTGATCTTATCTGTTAGGCATGAGTGTCTTCAAAGGAAATCATTAGAGGGAACATTTGAAGTTCAACACCTTGCCCCTTGTTGGTGGGGCTGTTCATGGAGGATAGCAGGGGCTGTCAGTTGTTCCCCAATATCTTCTTTCCCTTCTTCCACGGTAATTGAAGTTTTAACTATGCAGATGTATTCTCAGAGAAAAAGACTACCTTTCTCAGCCTCCCTTGTAGTGAAGGGGACTACTAAGTTTTGGCCAATAACATATGAGCAGACATTTGCTTTGGCAATCTCTGAGAACCTTCCCTAAAATACAGGTGCTGAGAACACCTTGACTATTTTTCAACTCTCCCACTAAGCCTGGACTACAGAATGTGGGCAGGACCGTCTTAGACTCTGAGGATAATAACCATTCCCTAGAGAGAGAGAGACTGGAAGAAGGCTGGATCCCTGAGGATTTTGAAAAGTAGATACTAGTAAAACTTTCAGACTTTTCTATGGAAGCTAAAAACACTTCACGTCACACTCCATGCTGTTTCCTGAACATGTTAAGCATCCTACTGCCCCAGCACCATTATACTTGCCCTTCCCTATGCTTGGATCTCCTCACCTCAATATATCTGTATTAGTCCGTTTTCATGCTGCTATAAAGAACTGCCTGAGACTGGATAATTTACAAAGAAAAGAGGTTTAATTGGCTCACAGTTCCACATGACTGGGGAGGCCTCACAAAACTTAGAATCGTGGTGGAAGGTGAAGGAGAAGCAAGGCACGTGTTACATGGTGGCAGGCGAGAGAAGAACGTGTGAAGGAGGAGCTGTCAAACACTTGTAAAACCATCAGATCTCGTGAGAGCTCACTCACTATCATGAGAACAGTATGGGGGTAACTACCCCCATGATCCAATCACTTCCCATCAGGTCCCTCCCTCAACTTGTGGAGATTATGGGGATCACAATTCAAGATGAGATTTGGGTGGGGACACAGAGCCAGACCATATCAATATCCTTTTTACTTGGTCTTTTATTCATATGTCCTTTCTCAAATAGTTTTGCACAAGGGAGTTCCCTAGTCACCCCATTTGAATCACAACCCTACCCCCATTATTTCTGTTTCTCCTTCCCTGCTTTTTCCTTTTCAGAACTTACCAACTAACACACCATATTTTATTTATTTATCTTGTTTACTGTCTGTCTCCCCTACAAAAATATATGGCTCAGTGAGGGAAAAAAAAACTACCAATAGCTCTCATATCCCATTAAATGTTTGTCAAATGAACAAAACCAGTCAGGTGTGCAGAGATGACAAAATGAAGTGCAGATATGACAAAAATAATAATGATGGAGTGAAGTTAATCACATGTGCTTTTCTGATTCACATTCCATAAATACTTTCCGAATGCCTAATATGTGCCAAGCATTAACAAGTTACCTTTCCATGTAACATCTAATATAATCCCAATGAGAACGTACCTCAGCAGGTGTTAGTATCCTATTTTTACTGATGAGGAATCTGACATGTAAAAGAGCATTTTGAGCAAGTTACTGAAGCAAGTAAGACAAGGATTTTCATAGAGAATGATGACCAGACTGGGTTGTCTCTAATTCATGAAAAGAAACGATACAGGAGAGGTCAGGAGAGGGGCATCTGCACCAGCATCTAAAACTAAAAGCAGATATAAATAACAAAGCCTTAAACAGGGCCTCTTCTTCCCTCTGTACTCAGGTTAAATAGGTAAACTGAAGAAAATTTCTATAAGTAAATTTGCACAATAATCTTAAGAAAATTGTAGTCACTAATAAAATACATAAGGATGTATCATAGTTAATAAGCGTATCTAGACCAGTCTTTCAAAAAAAACAATCATAGCTGTGCCCTCCACATCTGCACTGGTTAGCAATCTCCTAGATAAGCATCTTCTAAGACTGAAAATGAATGAAAGTGAGCAAAAACAAATAAAGCACAACTTTCAAATTACTTTTATGTCTTCAGTTACAATAATAATTATTTTATTTTATTCCTATCCAAAAATTCATAAGCAGTATGTTATAAAAACAGGCATTTGTTTGCTCTCCTTATATGTGTTCTTTATAAATACATATGTGCAGATAAATACATATAAAAGAAATAAAATGCCTGTAGCTTTAAACCTTCTTGAGATTAATAAAAGAGTATCTGAATATTCACATTATGTTAACATCATTTCAAAATTCTTCCTCAGTTTATTTGGACAGGAGCAGAATATGTGAAAAGAGAACAGATATTTCAGCCAAATAGAAGTTGATTGAAATCTACTAGTGATATAATCAAAGATGAATCATTGAACATAAATCACTGGTCAGTAGTTTCCCCACCAGCAAAATGAGAAAGAGAGTATCTACCTTGCAAGGATTCCTAGCTACGAGGAATAGAAGTAACAACATATGCAACGTGGCTAGCATGTGCCTAGCTCAGCATGGATGTTCAGCAAATGCTAATCAGCATTATAATAGTTCTGAAAAGATAGCCCATCCCTCTCCTTTCATAAGAAGTCAATAATTACATTTCCTCTCTTTTTCCTGCAAATCCTTAGGGAAACAGAAGGGAAACAATGTATCTCAGATTTCCCAGATTCAGATAATAGATTAGTTCTTGGAACTTATTCTTCATAATGCTTTATTTGGTACAGTATTCAAACCCAGCCTCCAAAAATATTAGCCTTTTTTCTTTGATCAAATAATCTAACCCACAAATTATAATTCTATCAAAAGTTCTATAGAAAAAAAAAGATGGAAACTATATGAAATCTGAAATCTTTGAAAGAACCTGACCACAGATGTGAATATCTCTTCCATAAACATATTTATTCCCTTTCATACTGAATAATGTTCCAGATGTTTTTGGGCAACACTCCTCCAGTGCAGCTGGCATCTACAGCAGTGTACCTGGGATGTTCTGACACTTCAGTCATCCTAAGAGATGTGCTAAATAAAATTGCGTGCAAGATGTTCATCTGGGCTATCAGCAGTTAGCTGATTAAAATGAAATGATTACTGGAGAAACTGAGAAATGGCCATTTTAAGCATGTGTTCATGGTACGTAAAACAATAGTATTAGATATTAGTAAGAAACTTTTTTTCAAAGTGCCATTTGTTTTGAAAGTGCCACTATAGCAAAGAAATACACTCCAAGGAAATTCATTCGATTACATGTTTGTAATTTGGTCTTTGGGTAATGTAATCATACTAGACTTTGCCCCAAATGTTCCTTCAATGAATGAGTTCAAGGATAAATGGCCCAAGATTTTGTTCCAAAGGACTAAAATAGTGAAATCGAGATGAAACTATTTTATACAATCTAAATATAAAAGCTGTAACAATGAATATTGTCTTTGTAAAAATTTGGCACGATGGAGGCAGTTTCTAACTGCTAATTCCTCCACCTGTATACAAATTCTTTCCTCTTCTGTCTGTTCATAGGCAATCATCCAGTCCAACTGCTATATATTGTCAACTTTTTAATATTTATTGGGCCTTCCCATCAGCATTTCAGGTGGTTCAAGTCTCTACCAGCTTATTAAAGTCAAATGCTTTCATCAAACACGTAACCCCATACTCCCCTTTATCCCCTATCCCTAGCTCTCTTTTCTCATCTAAAATTTAAATGGTTTAAACCCTCTACAATTATATCCATAAAATAACACCTGAATACTCATAATATTACTAACATTATTTCAAAATTCTTCCCCGGTTTATTTAAGTAGTAGCCATGGGTCTTTTTTAAGAAAAGGCCTACATTCACTCTCCCCTCCATTTTACAGCTTCACAAAAAAAAAAAAAAAAAAAAAGGTGTTGTCATCAAGGTCACCAGAGAACTGTTGTTGCTAAAGGACAGGGGACTCCTTCCACTTAACCTTTTATTTCTCACAATCATTTAGTCACCTGTACCAGGAAACCCTCTCTTTGCTTCATTTCCATGACAGCTCACCTTTCTGGCTTCCATGCTACCTCCCTCAATCCTCCTTTTCTGCCTGATTTTCACATTTGTCTTCTTCTACCTGTTCCTTACCATTTGGTTCTTAGTCCTCTTCTCTACAACCCTTCTTGACAAATCATCCATTCCCATGGCAACAGTTAGTGACTCCTAGTCATCACTGTCCACCACCCCACACCTTCGGTTCTCCCTGTGTTCCCTGTTTCAGGCAACAGCATCACCATAGACTGAGTTGCACA
The DNA here is from genome assembly GCF_000001405.40 of Homo sapiens. Taxonomy (NCBI): domain Eukaryota; kingdom Metazoa; phylum Chordata; class Mammalia; order Primates; family Hominidae; genus Homo; species Homo sapiens. The sequence continues at coordinate 199,042,490 of NC_000002.12, forward strand.
ATGGAAGAATACGAGTTACTTTAACTCCTTTCTTTCCCTCACTCCCCATATCCAGTACATGGCCAGGTTCTATTGTTCCTGCTTCCTAAATACCTCTTGAATCCATTTACTTCTTTCCATCCCTTTAGCCAGAACACCACCCTCTCCTTCATCAATGACTGCAGTAGCCTAACTAGTCTTTCTGCTTCCCACTTTTGCTTCAGTTGCACTCCTATTTATTCTTTTACCATGTACAATTTAGATTATTTAGATCCTCTTAAATTTTAGTGACAATCTTCTTCCTAAAACACAGACTCTTTATAAAATCAAGTTACTACCATGCTTAAAATGCCTCAACAGAGTCCTCTTGCCACCATAATAAAGTCTATATCAGCACTTTTATATCAGAGGCCTGGTGACTTGTAAATGAAGTTTAACTTCCCAATATCATCTCCTTCCTTGACTTCACAGTCCAGTGGGCTGTACTGAACTAACTGCAATTGAACCCACATGACACAGTCTCCTGCACTTTTCAATGCAACACATGCTGTCCCTTCTGTCAGAGTGTTCTTCCTCCAACCGTCATTTCACCAGCACCCATTCTTCTTTCTCTACTAACATGTCAGCTCCTCCCTTCTCTGACCACCTCCATCTCAACCCTAGATTAGATACTCTTCCTGTGAATGTGCCTATCTCCCTTGACTCACAGCACTCTAGCACTTACCTCATTGTGTTTTAGTTACCCATTTGCCACCTCCCTCCTCCACACTCCCACTAGATTGTAAACTGTTTTCAGGCAATGACAGTGGTGGAGTTCTTTCTTGCATCCCCAGCACACTGTATGGTCCTGACACAAAGTCGGTACTTGATAATATTCACTGAGTGTAGAAATCCTTGCATGACAGGAATGACCAATTGGAAATTGGCCCCCAGATTTATGATATTTTCCCACTACTACTTTATATCAACCTTCCCTCCAACCAAAACAAACTATGGCACAGTATAGTCATGACTTTCTCTGCCTTTCAACTGTTAAGGTACTTTCAGCCCAATTCATATTCCATGTCCTCCTTGAGTCCTAAAATAATTTCTCAAATCTAACATACAATTTTCTTCTTAGTGTTCATATAATGCTTTCTATCTTTGTGACTTCTTTTAGAACAGAAGCACCTGTAAACCTATGCCCTAGTCCCTAACAGGTCATCAGTATAATTAAATATTAAATCACTAAGTTTAGGATGTTACACACTAAGTTATTGTTACACAGTAATAGATAACCAGAAACATTTTTGGAGTGCCTACTATGTTCTAAGTATCCTTTCTAGCACGTTCCTCCACATTCTTACAAACACTGATATTATCAGAGTTTTAATTGTTGACAGTCTGACAGTTGTGAAATGGCACTTATTTAGGTTTTAATTTGCACTCTTACCATGAAGTTCAGCTCCTTTCCACATGTTTGTTGCCATTCAGGCTTATTCTTTTGTGAATTACTTGCTCATGATTTTGCCCATTTTTGTTACATTGTTTGCTTTGATGTTAATGATTCACAGGAGTCTCATATAATATTACCAAACACCAGTCATTTGTAGGTTGCATGTATTGTAAATATCTTTTCCCAATTTTTGGCGTGTCATTTCCCTTTCTTTATATTGTCTTGATAAGGAGAAGTTTTATATACATTTTTTAAGGTTTACCCTTCTTCCTCTTCCTCCTCTCCTTTCTCTTCCATTTCTTTGTCTTCTTCTCTCCTCTTCTTCCATAGCCTCAGCTCATTGAAATAGTTCTCATATATTTTTCTGGAATGCATTCTAAAGTTTTGCTTTTGACATGTAAACTCTTGATCCACCTCAAATTTACTCATTCATTTATTTTGATATGGTTTGATTCAAGGATCCCTTTTTCTAACCATAAAATAACCTTTTGTTTCAACACCATGCATTGATCAGACTATCCTTTCCCCAGTGACCTTCAATACAAGCTCTTCAGTCTATCAGATATCCATCAATACATGGCTCTGTTTCTGTACTCCCTACACTATTCTGTTGGCTGATTTGATTCTTGTGCCAATATCAAATTGTTAAAATTACCATTTTGTAGTAATTTTTCATATTGGGTAGGGGAAACCACTTCATCTTCAGAAGTGCCAGTATTCCTGGTCCTTTCCTCTTGCATGTGAATTTTAGCATTAGTTTGTCAAGTTTCATAAAAATCCTTTCTGGAACTTGGGTTTGGTGGCATATAAAAATGAAATTAACCTGGGTGAATTTAGCAAACTGGATAAACTTATATAATAGTTTGTCCTTGGATTATTTAGGGTTTTCAATGTGGACAAATGTTTTATCTGTGAATGAATGTATGAAAACTATGTATCTTCCTTACCATTCCTTACTCTTGATAAAAGAAAAACTTCAGCCGAATTAAGTTCAAAGCGGTTTAATTGAGCAATGTACGATTCGCGAATCAGGCAGCCCCCAGAATCACAGCAGATTCACAGAGACTCCAGGGGTCCATGGTCAGAACAAATTTATCGACAAAAAAGGTAAAGTGACATACAAGAATCAGAAGGAAGGTAGAGAAACAGTGGGATTGGTTCAACGTTCAAATAAGGAAAAGCTCAACGTTTGCCTTATTTGAACACGGTTTGAACATTCAGCAGTCTCTGAGTATGGCTGCTGGGATTGGCCAGCACTCAGCCATTGTTACAGGTGTATACTATTTAGGATTTCAATTTTGTCTGACTTTTAAGCTGGTTACAGTTCATCCACAAGGACCCAAATATAGAAGTACGGAGTCCTTCTCAGGCCATATTTTGTTTGCTTTAACAAGCTTTTCTTGTGTGTTTTACTGTACAAACTGAAACTTCATGGACAATGTCGAATGGGTATAAAGTGTGGTAGTACTGATCTTGCTTTGTTCATGTTTTCAAAGAGAATGCTTGTAATGTTTCTTTATTAGTATGATATTTATTTTAGATTTTTTGTGGATATTATTATCAGGTTAGAAAAGTCCCCATTTTATTTTTAGTTTTCTACGAATTTTATCATGAAATGTTGTTGAACTTAAATGAATACTGTTACTGTATTTAATGAAATGTTTATAATTTTTCCTTTAATCTGTTAATTTTTTAATTCAGTAATAGATTTTCTAATGTTGACTAACTTGCATTTCTGAAATAAGCCTACAGTCCATGTTTTAATCATGTCTGAATTCATTTTATAAATATGTTGTTTAAAATTTTACCATCTATAGTCAAGAATAAATTAACTTTTAATTTTTCTTCCTCATACTATTCACTTTTGGTTCCAATATTAAGGTTATATACTAAGTATGTAATATTAGTTTGTGTAAGATAGGAATAACATGATTATTGATTGCTTCGAGAACTCAAAGGTAAAATTATCTGGGCTTGATATTATCTTTATAGGAAGGCATTTGATCTCTGATTCAAAATGTTAATGGTTATAGACTATTAAGTTTTCCATTTAGCCTTGAATCAAATTTTTTAATTTGTATCATCCAGAAATGTATCTATTCCACCTTTGTTTCAAAAGTATTATAAAGGTTTTCATAATATGCTTTTCCTTTTTAGTGTCTGCTACATCTATAATTATACCTGCTTTTTTGTTCATAATATTGCTCATTTTTTCTCTCCTTTTAAACTCAAGTTGTCTTTTGTAAGGGAATGTATCTTTTTTTAATCCAAATAACCAATCTTTAGTTTTATTGGTCCTGTATTTTATACCTTTATGTTCATTTCATCCATATCTGCTCCTGTCTTAAGTTATTTCCTTTCATCCATATTCTCTACATTTAGATTGTAGTATTTTGTATTTGAATGCTTAGCTTGTTTATTTTCAAATGGTCTTTTAAAATATGAATATTTAAAGCTGCAAATTTCTTACCAAGTATAGCTTTAACTGCATCTCATGAGTTTTAATATGTAGAATTTCCATTTTTATAGAATCCAAATTTTTTCCTAAATTTCATTATAATTTTTTAATACACAAGTTATATAGAAATATATTTCTAAATTTCAAAATACATTCAGAGATGTGTAATGGATTTACAACTTTACTGAATTATGGTCAGTGTAGGTGATCTGTAAGAAATCCCTTTTCAATAATTTTTTGAGATTTGCTTAATGGTCTAGTATATGGTCAATTTTATAAAAGTTCTCCATATGCTTGAAAATGATGTGTATTGTTTCATTGTTACAGCAATTTTCTAAGCATAACCATTAGCTTAAGCATGTATTTATCATAATTTTTCATCAATATGGATCTAACAACTTCTGAAACAGATGTGTGAATGTCTTATGATAACAAATTTGTCATTTCATCCTAGTTTTTTTAACTTTTCTGTATATGTTTCAATATCATATTAATTTCATAAAATCTTACTCATGAATCCAATTTTAATCAATATTTAAGAGGCCTTGTTAGCTCTAGCAATGTTTCCCCAACTTGAAAATCTAAATTGTTTTGTGTTAATGTGGCTTTCCAGTTTTCTTTTGGCCAGTATTTACCTAGTGTAGCTTTTCTCCATCCTTTCACATTCTACCTTCCTGTGTTGTTATATTTTTGGTGTGTTTGCTATAAACAGAGTATGGCTACGTTTTGTTTTGTTCTGTTTATTCAGTCTGGCAAACTTCGTCTGTTAACTAGAGCATTTAGTCTATTTACATTGATTGAGATTGCTGTTCTATTTGGAATCATTTCTCCCAATTTATTGTATACACTTTATGTGACCTACTTGTTCTGGATTTCTTTTGCTTTTTTTGACTTCTTTTAGGTTGAGATTTTTTTCTTTCCTTTATTTCTTATTAATGACTTAGATGTTTTATGCTCTGCTTCTGTACCTTTAATGTTACCCTATATAGTCTAACATTTATATATAACACTTTTAGTTTAATCAGCTCTTTGTATTTCTGGTAAATTATACAAAAACTTTAGATCACTAACGTGTATCACCTTTTTCTTATTTGACATGCAATTACTATCTAGCATTTTAGCTTTTTTCTTGACTTTAATCCAACATAATAGACATTTTTGTTACTGTTTTATAAAGTAAACTATTTTTATTAAAAATCTGTCATTTTCTTTACTCACCATTTCATCGTGCATCAGATTTCTCTTTTGGGATTCCTTTTCTTCTAAGAGTTCACTGTCTAAAATGTCCTAACTGAAGCTCTGTGTATAATAAATGCTCTTGATCTTATATTTTGAATTCAAATTATACTTATGTAGCTCTCAGCTCTGAGATATTGTTTCACTATATATAACTCTAGTTTGACATCTATTTTTCTCAGTATTTGATGACATTATTCCACTAATTTCTGATTTCCATTGATGTTGTTGAAAATCAGTTATCAATATCACTCTCATTCATTTTTTATTATTTGTCTTTTCCCTCTGGCTGCTCTCAAGATCTTATCTTTATATTTAGTGTCACACAAATTTACTGCCACAAGACTACACATTTACACAGCTTAGAATTCATCAGGATTCCTGAATCTAAGAATTTTAATACAATTCGGGAAAATTTTCATTCATCATCCCTTTGAATATTGGTAACCAATATTCCCTGTTAGAAGGATACTGGGTTACATATTTGTTGCACTTTCTCGCTCTTTCAAGTTTCTTAATCTCTTGTCCATATTTTCCAGGTATTTTCCTGACCTATCGTCTAGAACACTAATTCTCTTTATTAGTCCATTTTGACTATAAAATACAATATACGTACAAAAATGTATAAAACACAAGACAGTTTTAAAGCTTACTGCATGAACCCCCATCTAAGACAAGAAACAGAATACTGCTAGCACCCTGGAAACACAACCCCCTCCATCATGCACTTCTTCCCAATCATAACCTCCATGCTATTCTCTAAAGGTGACCACTTTCCTGACATTTGTGCTAATTGTCTTGAATCTTCTGAATATGCATCCTTAAACACTGTAGTTTAATTTTGTCTATTATTGAACTTTATGTAAATTGAATCATACGGTATTCATGCTTTCATGTGTAGCTCATTTATATCAATACTACTATTGTGACATTTGGCATGTTATTGTGGGTAGCTATAATTTGTTCATTTTCATTCTGTAATTAAAGATGCCCAAAGCAAAGCTAGTCCCAGATACTCATCTCACTTCTCTGAGTTTCTATCTTCTTTAAATTTTTGAACTAATAATCTTATTCTGTTATCCTTTCAATGCCTTCAAACACATGCTTTTCTGTTTTGTTATTTTTTTGATACAGGGTCTCACTCTGTCACCTAGGAAGGAATACAGTGGCAGGAATACAGCTCACTGCAGCCTCAACCTTCTGGGCCCAAGAGATCCTGCTACCTCATCTTCCCGAGTAGTTGGGATTACAGACACATGCCACCACACCTGGCTGCTTTTTTTTTTATTGTGTGTAGAGACAGGATCTCCCTATGTCTTGAATTCCTGGGCTCAGTGATCATCCCACCAAGGTCCCACAGAGCGCTGGGATTACAGATGTAAGGCACCACACCAGGCCAGATGCCTTTTTAAAAAATAAGTTGCCTATTTTTTTTTACAGTTTCTTTAATGCATTGATTACTCCAAATTATGTAATATGTCATAAACAAAGTAGAAGTCTTCTGACTCTCTTATTACATCCTATCCATTGAGCTTATAAATTGAATTATTATATTTCTTTATTTCTAGAAGTTTATTTTGGTCATTTTCAAATATTTCTGGTAAATTTTTGTATTTTTTAGTATACGTTTACTTATCTGTATAAACTTGTTTTTGTTCTGTATTTTTAATTGTCTGATTCTATTGCTTGCTATTTCTAACAACTTTCATGCATGCTGGTTTCTTTGTACGTTTAAGTGTGTGTGTGTGTTCTTGGAACTTCATCTGTAGAAAACATTTGGGTCCTGTGTTTAAAGTAGAATGTGTTCCTTCAGAGAAGATCAGTGTTTGCTTCTGCCAGGTGTCTGAGGTCATTAACAGCCTGAGACATTTTCTAGCTCAAATTCTACAATTATGTTTTGCTTTGGTTCATTTTTTAATCACACAGGAATACAAATTCATGCTCCAACTTACAGCAGTACAAATTCGAAGTTAAGAATTATCAGGAGAGACTTTTTTTTTTTTGCCTCAGAGCCAAGGCTAAAACAGGCATGTTCTTTACTCTCTCTTTTCAAGGGGTATTTTTCTTCCTACTTCACTCTCTTAAATATCACTCTTAAATGAGCAAAAATTTTTGAGAGGGTGTCTGGTCTGACCTCGTATCTTCCTTGATTCTTGGGTTAGAGCACCTGACACTTTCACATGATCCATTTAAACCCATTTACCAGGCTACCAGGGATACCAGAGACTTGTGGGTCAAGTGCCAGTTCCAGAGTCTGCTAATCCTATGGATTTATATTTATTTATGTATCATTTTTAACCTCTGAGGATTTCTTTCTTTTCCTGCCAACTCTGGTATTATAAAATATTTTTTGTATTTGCAGCATTTTAGCTTTGCTGTGCCTGATTGTGTTTTTCTTAGTATCCAACTCAGAATAATGGAGAAATGAATACATAGTTGGGTATTTTTTTGCATAAGCATGAATTTCTGCTTATTCAATGACACTTCTTACCTGTAACACCTTTGCAAGATGATTGACCAGATGTTAAAAGGAAAATTTGTGTCTGTGGAACAGAGCTGTTTTCTATAAGAAGTCAATTTATGTTCTCAGACCCATAGATGGAGCCTGATACAATTTTGACCTCCTACAATGTTGCTTTAACCAATTCAATTAATCAGTCTTTTAAATTTAAATGACAAACCAAAAATATTCCATATTATCATAATATATTATTACTTAATTTATTGCAGGACACATTATCCAGACCCTAAAACATAGAATTTATTTCTAATGTAAGCAATTAGAATTCCTTCAATAATTAGTGCTAATTCTTTGTGGCTGATTAGAACTTCTCTTAGGACCACAATGAAAGGAAAAGGAAAGACTCGGTTGCTAGGGCAGGTGAAGCAGAATCACAGAAGGTAAACATCTTGGGGACTATTTTCAGAAGGTGATACATTCTTACAGTGACACCAAGACTGTGACTGAGTATTCAACAACTGATTCCTTGGCACACTGTTTGAGATTTTCAATGCATTCTTATTTTTGCTGCAAATATATTAAGGAGATATAAGACAAGTTGCATGCTGAGCTTTTGACGATGGCTCAATTCAATAATTTTTTTCAAATTTTATTTTACTTAGTTTTAGTTTAAATTCACTTCTCTGAAAATAAATTTGTTTCAGTGAAGGAACTTGAAAAGTAGATATTGGGATCACATATGCTACATTAAAAGGGTAGTATTCTTTTAACAGCTCTTTGTATAAATTTTGTTCAGTATATGTATTCGTTAATCAAACCAATTTTAAACTTGTCACCAAATTTTTTATTTTCATATCTTAGTTCAAATGAAATCTTTTTAAAAAAACATCTTTGATGTTACACTTCAAGATGTTACACTTAAAGTATAGCATCTTAACACTTAAGTGTAGCTTCTAACATCTAAGATGTTAGAAAAATTAATGCTACACTTTATTTGCAATAATTTTCTTCTAATTTTAGAAATCTATTTAGAAAAAGTTCACCAATAATAATAATAATGCATATACAATGTTTAAAAATTGAGAAATGAAAGAACACCATAAAAATTACTCATATTTTTACCATCCAGAGATATTTATTGACATTTGCTTCATTTCTAGTTATTTATTTTAAGTCATTTTTATAAAATTGAGGTATGCTACATATACTGTTTTATGTCTAGTTATTTTCACATTAACTCAGCATTCTTCTTGTCATCAGATGTTTTCCCATGACAAATACATCACAGATGTGTTTGTTTTATTTATTTGTTATTTATTTCTGTTTTTTAATATTATAAATTATGTTGTGACTTTCCAAAAAATTACTTAATTGTCTTCATTCATTATTATTTTATAAGGTAAATTATTTGAGGTTTAATAATTGGATAAACAATACTATGCTCATCAAATATTATCAAAATATTTTAATTTTATATACATATATGTGGATGTATATTTTAATATTATATATAGGATCATTCATTCCCTGATGCCCCATAATATTAAAAGGAATCATGGGTAAGTATTTCTCCTTCATGTTAAATATTAATAAACTCCTTTAGGTTTTTATCACCTTGTTTTCCTTCTCCTTTTGTACATTTACTTTACACACAAATTAAAATATCAACGGAGATCTCCCTGTGGAGAAATTGAAATGGTATTTCTTTTATTCACCAGACTTGAAACCAAAGCACTTTTCATAATCACTTTTCATCATATTATGGCAGGAGGCATGCAGTGTAGGCTATTACCCAATAACCAGTCAATATTAATATACAAAAAGCTTAGCCGGCCAGCTCAAACCCAACCATAAGAATACTTGAGTTATAAATGATGTATATATAAAATGCAAATACAAGATAAAAACATTGATGATACTTTTGCCTAAGATAAATATTAAATTGCAGTCTTCTTCTGTGAACATCTCTAATTTTTTAAAAACTTACAATTTTCCTCATTGCAAATCTCATAATGTCCTCTTCATTCACTATACCATTAAAGCATTTTGCAGGGATTAGAGAGGGTGTTTACCAACCAAGCATAAATACTTTAGGTGCAAATTATCAGTAAATTGGCATCTCCCATATACAGAACTTGTTTACCCATTATATGGCAATGAACCAGAAAATAAGAGGGGAAAAAAGCCATACACACAATCAGAATGGACTTTCCCTAATCTCATCTTGTCAAATGCATGTATTTTAACAGAGAATAATTCAGATTCTCACTCAGAGCATCTTTACTATTATTTTAGTTGAAATTCTAACTAGAGTAGTAATCTTATTTTCAAGCAAGTCACAGATTAGACAAGGCAAATTAGAAGTGCAAGGAGAGGATCAGGACTGGCCAAGAGGTGACTGAGCTCACTAAATGCATTTCATGTTGGAGTAAACATGCCTCCATGTAGATTTCTGCACAGACCCACTGGTTGGGTACAGTGAAGCTTACACATTAACCCAGAATCATCAAGAAAATGTTAAATTACACTCAATTTTTTTCATTTTAAGAGACACAGAAGCCGGGCGCAGTGGCTCATGCCTGTAATCCCGCACTTTGGGAGGCCGAGGCGGGTGGATCACAAGGTCAGGAGATCGAGACCATCCTGGCTAACATGGTGAAACCCCATCTCTACTAAAAATATAAAAAATTAGCCGGGCATGGTAGCGGGTGCCTGTAGTCCCAGCTACTCAGGAGGCTGAGGCAGGAGAACGGTGTGAAGCCGGGAGGCAGAGGTTGCAGTGAGCCGAGATTGCACCACTGCACTCAAGCCTGGGCGACAGAATGAGACTCCGTCTCAAAAAAAAAAAAAAAAAAAAAAAAAGAGACACAGAAATAAGTAACCTGTTTCAAAAAGGATTTTATCAAAACTGAAATAATTTTAGGCATTTAAAGACCTGCATGGATTTTATTATTAACTTACTATGTATATGTAATAATATCTATTTTTAAATTTTCAACAGAATAGTTAATATTCATTAATATTAAAAAATTCTGGCTACTTAGTCTTTACCTTAACTATCTTTTACAGATCAGCATTATTAGTGGCTAGAGTACCACAACCAACAATATCAAAATAACCTCAGAAGCTAACTCCATTCACCCAAACAGGCAATAGGCCAAATATTCAAACTCATAGGTTTTCCCAAAGTAACCTTACTACATAGGGTACACCAATTAACTTCATTCCATGGGAAACATATATTTTATGTTACCTACCATATATTTGTTTCATATATAGCCAATATATCTGTCCATGACAATGTAGTATTATTTCAGATTGTTATTCTCTAAAATAGAGAACAAGAATTATGCATTTTCAACTCAGCCTATACATTGATGTACATAGATGCATAAGAATAAATTGTTTGCACTGGGTGCGGTGGCTCACGCCTGTAATCCCAGCACTTTGGGAGACCGAGATGGATGGATCATGAGGTCAGGAGTTCAAGACCAGCCTGGCCAACATAGTAAAACCCCATCTCTACTAAAGATACAAAAACTTAGCTGGGCATGGTGGCACATGCCTGTAATCCCAGCTACTCAGGAGGCTGAGGCAGGAGAATCGCTTGAACCCAGGAGGCGGAGGTTGCAGTGAGCCGAGATTGTGCCATTGCACTCCAGCCGGGGCGACAGGGCGAGACTCCATCTCAAAAAAACAAAAGAATAAATTATGTGATGACTTGACATGAATTTATGGACATGTAATATTGAGTAGAGTTGTAAATACGGTCATATTTTTAAATTAATATGGCTTTTCTCCGGTCACTATAGTGACATGGTTATTATAAATTCATGCTGTCAAATTTCATCTGTGCCTTTACTGCTTCTCAAAAAGTGTTTTATTCATTCCTTGTTGATTTCCTAGGTTGGATTCCCAAAGAGAAACTTTCATTTATTTAAGGCTTTTAGTCCCTCCAACTTGCCTTCTTTCATCCTCAACCTCCTCCCAATTTACCTCTTACTTTATTTTTAAAAGATTATGTCCTTACGCCTTCTGAGCACCAACAGATTTAGCAAACAATATCTTATTTATTTTACAAATCAGAATTTCCTCTGAAAATCCTATTCACTGTGAATTGCTATTCCCAATGCCTCTACAAAATTAAGACTAACCTATTATCAAATGTAGAAAAAAATATAAACTATTAGTGAGCCCTGCACTGAAAATAAAGGAGAAAAGAAAAACAATTCTCATTATTAATGCACTCCATGTATTATAGGTCAGAAGTTAATCTGACCTATAATAATATCTATATTTAATCCTCAACAAAACCATAAATATTTATCAACATTCCGAAATTCTGGCTATCAACCTAGTTTTTACATTAACTGTTATTCATAGATGAGAGCTATTAGTAGCTCTGATTAATGGAGCTAGGATCTATATTGGCATCACCGCCACACTCTGAATTAGAAATTCAGCACTTTAGCACTCTGCTTGGTGGACATCAGTTTTCCATGCAGTCAGAGTCTTGTTGAACTATCACCTTAACTATCTTTAATAGATCAGCATTATTAGTGGCTCAAGTTCTACAATCAACAGTTATTGTTATTACCTCCCATAACATATTGTTCAGTAACAACCTTCAAGAAGGAAGCAGGCTATATAGCAGCCTGCATGATGCAGTTGCTATATGCAATGCTTTTGAGTCAGAGCAGAACTAGAAGGGATGCTGAGAGCAGCACAGGTCTGAGATAATGGCTTTTTGAGTTTCTTATCTGAGCTAAGATTCTGAGAGCCAGCAGAGAGGATAGAAATACTCATCTCATTCCAGCAGAGCCACACTACGGGAAAGCCTACTCAACACTAGGAACCAGAGCTACCGTCTTCCATTTCTCATTGCCAAGCTTTCTCAAAAATATGGTTTGTATCAATTAACTCTACTCCACCATTTCCTTTAGCTCCATGTGATCTGTCTTTAATCCACATTTGGTTTGCTCTAATAATATCCTCAGCATTTTAACAATGACTTCCTAACAAACCCAATGGCCTGTTTTTAGGTCTTTTTTTCTGACTTCTCTCAAACATAATTGTTGAAAATTCCTTCCTTGAAATTTTTTCAGCTCTTATTTTTAGTCCCTCTTCATAAGCGTTTTCTAAAGTGTTTTCTTCAAATCAGTGATACAAAAAGAGGAGATTCAAAAGAATACTTATGGGCAATTAATTTTGCCAAACACTGCTCCCCTGGAAGAATCATGGTCCTTATTAACATGTTAAAGTCTCTGTGAAATCTGATAGTAAAAGAAACTTGCATAACTGTGGTTTTCCAAACTTTTTGGACTATAGAACTCATTTCGTCACAATAGTTACCTATTTCCTCATTTGTGTTAACATAACATGATAACATGACATACATGTTTATCACATTTTAACATTGGGTTGTATCTAACAACCAATGGCATTTTAAAATCACTATTAGCTGGTAACAGTCATGATGTAGTTGTCATTTCCTGTGCATAAACAAACACGATCATCACTGTTCATTTTTTCATCATAGCAGCTGAGTAATATGTTTTGTTGGTACTACACATGTCAATTTTAATTGCTATTTAAAATATCTTTAAAAAGAGTACACTATAATTTAGTATTTAAACAAAAAACTTATTTTGTAAGCAGAAAAGCATGAAAATAGAATGGGGTATAAAATATTACTGAAGCAAATATTTGTCATTGGAGAAATAACTGCAATTGCATAATTGTTATTTTTTTTTTTGCTTTTTTTTTTTTAAAAAAAAAAGCACCAACCAATTGTTTTATGAGACCATAGGAAAGAACACATACATGAATTGTGTTTTGTTACTGAAAAACAGATACATATTTCCTATGACACATCAAGCAATGTAATTGAAGACTGGAGAAATTGCTCAGTCTCTCAAAATGGATCAAAGAGTTTCAAGAAATGAGGGTTTAGTCTCATAGGGCTATTGTTATTGTTAAAGCATTGCATTATAATTTAATTGCCAACATACTTTTAACTTAAAAGCACATAAAGTTATGGTGTATCTTATAATTGATGGTATCTTAGTTTCCTAAAACATGGTATGAACATGCTGTAAAACTAGTATTTTTCATTTATGAAATGCTGCTGTAATTATCTTTATATTCTAACCATTGTCCAGTTTATATTCTTTCTACCCCTTCTCCTGGACATGTATGCCCCCTGCCAGCCCCCTGCCATATGATTTAGTCATTATCTTGCTTTACTTTTTCTATAAACACAATGACTAGATCTCGTCTGTCTTTCCAAGTTGAGTCTATGGGATAATGTTCTCCCAGGTACCCAAATGTAAGGTATCAATCATGGAGGCAAAAGTGCCAAGGTCAAACTCAATATTCCAAAAGAAACCATCTCAAATTCATAACAGTCTAGACCCTCTTTGTAGGTTTCACATCCTCCTACAGAATAGGATTCCACCATTGGAGAAGAACACTAAAGCTTCCTAAGTGAGTAAGCCTGTTTCTCCTCTTCTTCCAGGATCAGAGGATCAGAGCTTTCTCTAATAGATCATGGGCTTTTTGTTTTTGTTTTTGTTTTGTTTTGTTTTTTGAGATGGAGTCTGACTCTGTCGCCCAGGCTGGAGTGCAGTGGTGCGATCTTGGCTCAATGCAACCTCCGCCTCCTGGGCTCACATCATTCTCCTGCCTCAGCCTCCCAAGTAGCTGGGACTATAGGCACCTGCCACCATGCCTGGCTAGTTTTTTGTATTTTTTAGTAGAGATGGGGTTTGACCGTGTTAGCCAGGATGGTCTTGATCTCCTGACCTCATAATCCACCCACCTCAGCCTCCCAAAGTGCTGGGATTACAGGTGTGAGCCACCGTGCCTGGCTGATCATGGGCCTTTAAGTGCTAAAATGTGTCTTCTGATGGGTGAGACAAATCAAATAACAAAAATTTAAACCTCTAAATTTCAAAGAGAAGTCTTTGTGAAGGTACTGCTGTCAAGCCCACTTCTCCTCCTGTCTGTAGCCATGACATTCCTTGATTCCGACCTGGGAGAATGTGACCAAAGGAAATAAGGGAAAAGGGATAATAATAACTAATATTATAGCAGGTTCCCACATATCTCAGTTTATCTATATAGCGCATACTGCTATGAGAGTTATTAATACACACATGCTATAGATGAAAAACATCTGGAAAGTTGACATTTTTCAAGAATCTTAAAGCTATTAAGAAATTCAGTTAGGGCTCTAAACTTGATACCCTTTGAGCAGAACACACACTGGATTTTTTAATAGCAATCATTCCAGGAGATATTGAATCTGTGCCTAAACACTTCCCGTGATAGAATAAAAAATTCCTTTCTCAAGGCACCTCAGTTCATCTTTGGACAGGTCATAACCTACATAGAAACTTGATTTTCAGGAGCCCTGAGAATTAAATAGGTAAGGTAAGTGTGCAAAGGGAGAAAACTGGGAGGGAAGTGTAAAAAACTGACCCAGCTACAACGTATCCATCTGAGTACATGGTCAGCTTGTCTAATTTGTCTAATTCTCAAAGATGGGGCATACTTTACGTACTTTGGCCTACCCGTAATATAGAAGA
Source organism: Homo sapiens (assembly GCF_000001405.40). Taxonomy (NCBI): domain Eukaryota; kingdom Metazoa; phylum Chordata; class Mammalia; order Primates; family Hominidae; genus Homo; species Homo sapiens. The sequence goes on from NC_000002.12 coordinate 199,057,648, forward strand.
AATTCTGATCCAGACAGTGGTTATCTAGCAGCTGAAGTAGGAGCAGCAGCCTTCATTTGCTGTCCAGCATCCTGGATCAAGGCATCCTTGCATGGTCAAGTCTGATTCCATAGTTAAGAGTACAGAGGTGTGAAGGTCACTCCCTATGTGAGGTCACTCCTGGAGAAGATACTAGAGAGGCTGAAAGGTGGGAGAGGAAAGAACTAGGCAATCTCGAGAATCTAACCAAATGGCTGAAGTTCAAAATAGCACAGGTATCAGCAAAAGACAATAAACCACATCAGCAGATTAGATATAAGATCTGGGCCAACCCTGTAGGGATTGAGGAAATGTAACCATGGAAGACACTGTGGACTGAGGCTAAGGCAAGACTTTACCAACAAGTGGGCTCACCTAGGCCAGAACTGCCTCATGAATGAAGCCTGGCAAACTAAACTTCATGAACTGACCAGGAGTGAGCCTGTGTGGAGATAGCATCGCTGATGACTGAGAAAGGATATGAGTAAGATGCCTTATTCACTGCTAAAACCCCAGAACGTAAGACAAGATCTAGTCCCCAGTATGGGTTCAATGAACATTTTTTGCTTACCTAATGGATATAAAATTTATAGCTAATGTTCACTGAAAAACATATAAAAGAAGAATAAAATGCTACATAACAATGAATATGAACAAACTATGCAACAGCAAGGCTAAATCTCCCTGAAATAATGTTGAGCAAAAGAAGCATGAGAGATGGTGGAGCAAGATGGTGAAATAGAAGGTTTTACTGATTCTCCCATCTGCAAGGACACCAAGTTAACAACTATCTACACAGAAGAAGCACCTTTATAAGGACCAAAAATCAGGTAAGCACTCATAGTACCTGCTTTTAACTTCATACCATTGAAAAAGGTACTGAAGAGATAGAAAAACAGTCCTGAACCTTCTTCTAATGGTGGCAGGAGAAAGAAGGGGGAAGTGCCACACACTTTTAAACCATCAGATCACATGAGAACTCACTCACTATCACAAGAACAGCATGGGGGAGATCCACCCCCATGATCCAATTACCTCCCACCGGGTCCCTCCTCCAACATTGGGAATTACAATTCAAAATGAGATTTGAGTGGGGACACAGAGCCAAACCATATCAGACAGAGAATTCAAAACAGCTGTGCTGAGGAAACTCAAAATAGTGCAGAGAAGAAATTCAGAAATATACCAGATAAATTAAATGAAGAGACAGAAATAATTAAAAAGAATCAAAAAGAAATTGAGGAACTGAAAAATGCAATTGTCATACTGAAGAAAATATCAGAGTCCTTTAATAGCAGAATTGAAGAAATAGCAGAATTGAAGAAAGAGTTAGTGAGCTTGAAGACAGGCTGTTTGACAATACAAAATCAGAGGAGACAAAAGAGAAAAGAATAAAAAACAGTGAAATGTACCTACAGGATGTAGACAAATAGACTCAAAATAGCAAATCTAAGAGATATTGGCCTTAAAGAGGCAGCAGAGAAAGACGCTGAGGTAGAAAGTTTATTCAAAGGGATAATAACAGAGCACTTCCCAAACCTAGAGAAAGATATCAATATCCAACTACAAGAAGGTTCTAGAACACCAAGTAGATTTAACCCAGAGAAGACTACCTCAAGGCATTTAGTAATTAAATTTCCAAACGTCACAGATAAAGAAAGGATCCTAAAAGTAGCAAGAGAAAAGAAACAAATAACGTATTAATGCAATGGAGCTCCAATATGTCTGGCAGCAGACTTTTCAGTGGAAACATTACAGGTCAAGAGAGAGTGACATGACATATTTAAAGTGCTAACAGAAACAAAATCCTTTACCCTAGAATAGTATATAGGGTGAAAGTATCTGTCAAATATGAAGGAGAAATAAAGACTCCCAGATAAACAAAAGCTAAGGTATTTCATCAATACCAGACCTGTCCTACAAGAAATGCTAAAGGGAGTGCTTCAGCCAGAAAGAAAATGACATTAATGAGGAATAAATGATCATCAAGGTACAAAACTCACTGGTAATTGTAAGCCCACAGAAAAACACAGACTATTATAACCCTGTAGCTGTGATATGCACACTATTCTCATCATAAGTAGAAAGACTGAACAATAAACCAATCAAAAATAACAACTACAACTTTTCAAGACATAGTCAGTACAATAAGATATAAAAAGAAAAACAAAAAAGTTAAAAAGTAGACGGATAAAGTTAAAATGTAGAGTTTTTATTAGTTTTCTTTTTGCTTGTTTGTTTGTTTATGCAAATAGTGTTAAGTTGTTATCAGGTTAAAACAGTGGGTTTAAAGATAGTGTTTGCAAGCCTCATGGTAACCTCAAACCAAAAAAAAACATACAATGAATACACAAAAAATAAAAAAGCAAGAAACTAAGTCATATTACTAAAGAAAAATCACCTTCATTAGAGGAAGACAAGAAGGAAAGAAAGAAGGAAAAAAAGACTACAAAACAACCAGAAAACAACAAAATGGCAGGAGTACGTCCTTACTTATCAATAATAACATTGAATGTAAATGGACTAATTCTTCAATCAAAAGACATAGATTGGCAGAAAGGATGAAAAAACAAGACCCATTAATCTGTTGCCTGCAAGAAACACACTTCACCTATAAAGACACACATAGACTGAAAATAAAGGGATAGAAAAAGATATTCCATACCAATAGAAACCAAAGAAGAGCAGTAGTTATTATACTTATATCAGACAAAATAGATTTCAATACTGAAACTATAAGAAGAGACAAAGAAGGTCATGGTATAATTGTTTTAGGTTTTTCCAAACATAAGATCATTTAGGAAAAACCTAAAGACTCCACAAGACAACTATTAGAACTGATAAACAAATTCAGGAAACTTTCAGGATACAAAATCAACATAAAAAAATCAGTAGCAGATATAATGATAAAGGGTCAATTCAGCAAGAGGATATAACAATTTTGAATATATATGAACCAAAAACTGGAGAACCCAGATATATAAGGGAAATATTAGATCTAAAGAAAGAGATAGGCCCCAATACACTAATAGCTAGAGACTTCAACATTCCACTTTCAGTATTGGACAGATCATCCAGATGGAAAATCAACAAAGAAACATCAGACTTAATCTACACTACAGACCAAAGCAATCTAATAGGTATTTATAGAACATTACATCCAACAGCTGCAGAATACACTTTCTTTTCCTCCGCACATGGATCACTCTCAAGGATAGACCACATGTTAGGTCACAAAACAAGTCTTAAAACATTCAATTAAACTGAAATAATATCAAGCATCTTCTCCGATCACAATAGAATAAAACTGGAAATCAGTAACATGAGAAGTTTTGGAAACTTCAAATACAATACATGGAATACACACAAATACATGGAAATTAAACAATATGCTCCTGAATGACCAGTGAGTCAATAAAGAAATTAAGAAGAAAATTGAAAATTTTCTTGAAACAAATGATAATGGAAACATAACATACCAAAACCTATGGGATACAGAAAAAGCGGTACTAAGAGTGAAGTTTACAGCTATAAGTGCCTACACCAAAAAAAAAAAAAGAAAGAAAAACTTCAAATGAACAATCTAATGATGCATCTTAAAGAACTAGAAAAGCAAGAGCAAACTAAACCCAAAATTAGTAGAAGAAAAGAAATAATAAAGAGCAGAGGAGAAATTTTAAAAATGAAATGAAAAAATACAAAAAATCAATGAAACAAAAAGTTGGTTTTCTAAAAAGTTAAACAAAATCGACAAATCTTTAGCCAGACTAAGCAAAATAGAGAGAAAATTCAAATAAATAAAATCAGAAATGAAAAAGGAGACATTACAACTGATACTGAAGAAATGTAACAGATAATCAGTGGCTACTATGTGCAACTATATGCCAATAAATTGGAAAATCTAGAAGAAATAGACAAATTCTGAGATACATATAACCGACCAAGATAGAACCAGGAAGAAATCCAAAACTTAAACAGACCAATAACAAGTTACAAGATCAAAGCTATAATAAAAAGTCTCCCAGTAAAGAAAAGTCCAGGACCTGATGGCTTCACTGCTGAATTCTGCCAAACATTTAAAGAACTCATACCAATCCTACTCAAACTATTCTGAAAAATAGAGGAGGAAATAATACTTCCAAGCTCATTCTATGAGGCCAGTATTACCCTGATACCAAAACCAGACAAAGACACATCAAAAAAAGAAAACTACAGGCCAGTATCTCTCATGGATATTGATGCAAAAATTCTCAACAAAAGACTATCAAACTGAATTCAATAATAATTAGAAAGATAATTCATCGTGAACAAGTAGAATTTATCCCTGGGATGCAAGATGTTACAACATATGCAAATCAATCAGTGTGATACATCATATAAACAGAATGAAGGACAAAAACCATATGATTATTTCAGTTGATGCTGAAAAAGCATTTGATAAAATTCAGCATCCCTTTATGATAAAAAACTTGGCCAGGCATGGTGGCTCACGCCTGTAATCCCAGCACTTTGGGAGGCCGAGGTGAGTGGATCACGAGTTCAAGAGATCGAGATCATCCTGGCTATCATGGTGAAAGCCCATCTCTACTAAAAATGCAAAAAATTAGCTGGGCATGGTGGCACGTGCCTATAGTCCCAGCTACGCAGGAGGCTGAGGCAGTAGAATTGCTTGAACCCGGGAGGCGGAGGTTGCAGTGAGCCGAGATCATGCCACTGCACTCCAGCCTGGGCTACAGAGTGAGACTCTGTCTCAAAAAAACAAAAAAAAAGAAAAAGCTGGAGGTAGAAGGAACATACGTCAACCTAGTAAAAGCCATATAGGACAGACCCACAGCTAGTATCATACTGAATAAGGAAAACCTGAAAGCTTTTCCCCTAAGATCTAGAACATAACAAGGATGCCTACTGTCAGCAGGGTTATTCAACACAGTACTGGAAGTCCTTACCAGAGCAATCAGACAAGAGAAAGATATAAAGAGCAAAAACTGGAAAAGAAGAAGTCAAATTATTCTTGTTTGCAATGATATAATCTTATATTTGGAAAAACCTTAAGACACCACGAGACAACAATTAGAACTGATAAACAAATTAAGGGAAGTTGCAGGATACAAAATCAATATACAAAAATCAGTAGCATTTCTACATGCCAACAGTGAACAATTTGAAAAAGAAATGGAAAAGGTAATCCCATTTACAATAGCCACAAATAAAATTAAATATCTAGGAATTGACTTGACTAAAGAAGTGAAAGCTGTCTACAATGGAAACTGTAAAACACTGATGAAAGACAATTGAGAAGGATACAAAAAATGGAAAAATATTCCATGTTCATGAATTGTAAGAATAAATATTGTTAAAATGTGCATACTACCCAAAGCAATCTACAGATTCAATGAAATCCCTTTCAAAATACCAAGAACATTCTTCACAGAAGTAGAAAAAACAATCCTAAAATGTATATGGAACCACAAAACACCCAGAATAACCAAAGCTATCCTAAGCAAAAAGAACAAAACTGGAGAAATCATATTACCTGACTTCAAATTATACTTCAGAGCTATAGTAATCAAAACAGCATGGTACTGACATAAAAATAGACACATAGACAAATGGAACAGAATAGAGAACCTAGAAACAAATGCACCACCCACGGTGAACTCATTTTTGACAAAGATGCCAAGACCATACACTGGGGAAAAGACAGTCTCTTTAATAAATGGTAGTAGGAAAACTGGATATCCCACGAGGAAGAATGAAACTAGCCCCCCATCTCTCACTATATACAAAAATCAAATCAAAATGGATGAAAGACTTAAATCTAAAACCTAAACTATGAAACTACTGCAAGAAATCATTGGGGAAAATCTCCAGGACAGTGGTTTGGGCAAAGATTTATTGAGTAATACCCAACAAACACAGGCAATCAAAATAAAAATGGACAAATGGGATCACATCAGGTTAAAAAGCTTCTGCACAGCAGAGAGTACAATTAATGAAGAATGAGACAAACCCACAGCATGAGAAAAGATATTTGCAAACTATTAATAGGGATTAACCAGAATATATAAGGAGCTCAAGCAATTCTATAGGAAAAGAATCTAAAAATCCGATCAAAAACTAGGCAAAACATTTGAATAGACATTTCTGAAAAGAAGACATACAAATGGCAAACAGGCATATGAGACATTGCTCAACATCATTGACCATTACAGAAATGCAAATCAAAACTACAATGAAATATCATCTCACCTCAGTTAATATGGCTTATATCCAAAAGATAGGCAATAACAAATGCTGGCAAGGATGTGGAGAAAAGGGAACCCCCATGCACTGTCAATAGGAACGTAAATTATTAATAGTACAACCACTATAAAGAATAGTTTAGAAGTTCCACAAAAAACTAAAAATTGACCCACCATATGATCCAGCAATCCCACTCTTGGTTATACACCCCAAAAAAAGGAAATCAGTATACACATTTATTGCAGCACTATTCACAACAGCCAAGATTTAGAAGCAACCTAAGTGTCTAACAACAGATGAATGAATACAGAAAATGTGGTACTTACACACAATGGAGTACTATTCAACCATTAAAAAAAGAATGAGATCCTGTCATTTGCAACAACATCGATGAAACAAGAGATCATTATTAAGTGCAATAAGCCAGGCACAGAAAGACAAACATCACATGGTCTCACTTATTTGTGAGATCTAAAAATCAAAACAATTGAACTCATTGACACAGAGAGTAGAAGGATGGTTACTAAAGGATGGGAAAGGTAGTGAGGGCCTGGCAGAGAGGTGGGGATGGTTAATGGGTACAAAGAAATAGTTACAAAGAATGAATAAGACCTACTATTCGATAGCACAATAGAATGACTATAGTCAATAATAACTTAATTGTACATTTTAAAGTAGGCTAATGTGATTGTAACTCAAAGAATAAATGCTTGAGGGGATGGATGCCCCATTCTCCATGATGTGCTTAGTTCACGTTGCCTGCTTGTACCAAAATATCTCAAAACATAAATATATACATATACTACATATCCACAAACATGTTTAAAGAATGAGATAGTTACATATTGCATGATTCCATTTATGTGAAGTTGAAGAAAAGGCATGGTTAATGTATGGTGGTAGAAGTCAGAATAGTGGCTACCTTTGGGTGGAGAGTACTGATTAGAGAGGGACTCAAGGGAAACTTCAGGAGTGTGGAAAATGCTCTGTATCTTATCTGGATGGTGGTTTCATAGGTGAACATATAGGTAAGAATTTTTGGAGCCATATAATTAAGATTTGTAGGCTTTACTAAATGAGAGTTATGTCACAAAATAGAAATATTTTTAAAACATACAATTCAAAGTATTATGAAATTTTTATTTACATTGAATAAAATATGTTCCCCTGTAGTTTCTACCCATTGTTCATAATTCTACCCATTACGGCCCCAGAGAACATTCATATTTTTTAAGACCTGCGTAGATTTAACGGCAGCCACCACTTGCCCCAAAAAGATGCTCCCTTCTGACTGATGATCTCAGCTTTTTCAGCCAAAATATCAAGTCCCTTCACCTGATTTATTGGCCCTAATTGTAGAGAGAAATTCCAAAAATTTTATGACAAAAAAAATATTTTCTGACCTCCCAGATAAAAAGGCTACACAGGCTAGCCATGTCTCTAGGGCAACCTCTCTGGAGTATCACTTGCCCCAAAAACTTCATAGCGCTCTCTCTCTCTGTCTCACACACACACACACACACACACACACACGCATACACAGTCACTATAGCAGAATTGCATCAGCTCATAATAACCATTCTAAGACATAACTTTGAAAAACACAGTCTAGGTCTGGGAAGAAGTTCCTTTTTTTCCCAAAGGGACACAGTTAAAAAAAAAAAAGTGTTGCTTTTATGCTACTAAATTTGTAGTCTATTCTAAAAGCTTTTAAAAGAAATATAAGTCTGAGAATAGAATGCAAGCAACTCAGTGTTATCCTTCAAGGAATGAGCAAGTTGTGGGAACAAAGGCTACCTGCAGTACTTTTACCTTAAAGTAGTAGGAGTAGGCATTGTAGACAGTATTACACCCATCTAACATAGGAAGCAGTGGATTAGGATTAGATACGCCAAATCTCTTTCTTATTGCTATTTAAGAGCTATGGCTCCATGAACCATTTAATAATTCAGCAACATTACCAAGAGATATCACTGTTATCAAGGAATCATATTTAAAAACAGAATGGTTCAAGATAGAAACATATGTCAAAATAACCACGAAGGCTATAACATTTTACAATTCATGTCATTTAGTTATGACTTGAAAATTGTGGAAGTTATGAGAAATTTTACCCAGTTTAACTGAAGGCCTCAAATGGTAAAAGTATACCCTAATGATGAGATGATTACCAAATTTACAAATCAGTAAAAGTATTCAAATAAGTTAATTGAAAAATGATGCATGAAATATTTTTGTTCATGTGTTTTGAAAAACACAGTTTGGTTTTAGATAGTGCTTACACATGGTTATACAGGATTAAATTACTATAGCATATTTCTCACAAAATTACTGAAATCTATTAATACGAATGAGGAGTCACAATAAGGCCAACAGTCTTTGTAGCCATGAGAAGTCAGCTACTCATTTCCAGTCTCATTGTGTTCTGAATATAAAGTAATCATCATTGTTGAAAAAAAAAATGTATAACTTTCAAAATGAAGTCTTTAGCTATAATGATATACACTTTTAAAATAAAATGTTAATTATAAAAGCTAGAATACTGATCAACTATTAGATATTAGAAAATGTCTGTTAGCTTTCTAAGGTAAGGCAATATTACCATGGTTAAGTAGGATAATGTTTTTGTCTTTAAGAGGTTCATGCCAGAGGATTTAGAGGTACAGTGTCATCTTCTCTGCATTTTCAAATGATTCACCACAAAAACAAACGCACATACATGTACCTACATTATAAAGCGAATACAACAAAACAATAACAATGATTAAATTAAGGTGTCAAAGACACACGTGTGCTTTCAACTTTTCTGCATTTACCTGACAAAGTCCAGTTAGATAGAGTGAGTCTACTTAGTAGTTTAAAGAGGAATTTTAACACAGGAACTTATTACAAAAATGTTAGACACCATAAAAACCTGAATAGGGGATCGTACAGCAATTCTGAGATGATCAGTAACAGGAAGCCCCTCTTACCCAACAACTTGAGGAGCAAAGGGAAAATGTGGTAATATCAAGTGGCGGGACCACTGAGCAGGATCAGCAGTCTGAACAGGACCTGGGACTACTAAGGAGATACAGCCACTGCCAGAGACTCTCCTGAAAAAGATTTTTCTTTATGATATGCAATCTCCTTCCAGTTGGCCCAATCTGGCCCAAAGGCAGTGAGTAAGGAGTTTGGGAAATGCAGGCTTCCCAGACCTCCCCCTGACATAAGGCCAGACCAAGGGAAGTGGGGAAATAGATGGAGAGCAAGCAGAAAAGTGATCAGCACACTTTACGTTTGAAACTGTTCTCAATAAAAATGTGTACAGAGAGGAACTGTGTGTCTAACATTTTTTTACAATTTTTTATTATAACAATGCCTCCAAAATTTTAGTTATATCAGAGGCAAAATAGCTTTGCTCAATGGCATCCTGTTCAGTCAAAACAAATTTCTTTAGAAGAGAAACAAACACAATGAATCAAGGTAATTCTAAGTTAAAAGTCATTGCAAAGTATTTATCCCCAAAAGCATCTTAACCTGGCACATTAAGGAACCTGGAGTTAAATTTAAACATAAGCTTCATGAAACTTCTCCCAAGGTAAAGCACATTTAAACCCAAGTTTAATACAAAAGTGCCATGTATTGTTTTACAGAATAATATCATAATGGATATTGTCTAAGGAACTTAATGATATCTAAAGCAGCAGAAGGACATATGAGGCTTGTCTGCAAAGAAGCTACGAGGTCAGGAATAATATGTTTCTCTTAAACAATAAGAGAAACTGAGCCACTCAATTTGACATTATTAGAGGTTAAGTGAATGATGGTGGAGGTACTGTCTCTTGGAAACATGAGGACACCTTACTTAGAGAGATAATACAATTAGCAGGTCCTTGAGCTGCCTGGCCTGGGCCAAATTCACTAGTCAATGCTACCCAGCTAGCAGTGCTCCATTTAATCACAATTTTAAAAAAATACAACGGCTATATTGAGGTATAATTCAAATACTATATAATTCACCCACTTGAAATGTACAATTCAGTGGTTTTTAGTTTTGAATTTTAGTAATGAAGTTATGTAACAATCACCACAATTTTATATTATCACCCTCCAAAAGCAACGCTGTAGCCATTAGCACTCACCACTTCTCCCTAACACTTCTGCCCTCTGCAACCACTCATCTACTTCTCTAAAAAATGATTAAGCCCGAGAAATAAAGAAACTAGGTAAACACAGACAAAAATCAAGGGTAAAAACTTAAAATTTGAACTGAATTTCCAAGCCATCCATGGCATACAAATGCTGATCAAAATATGTTGACTTTATACTGTATTAACACCTAATTCTTTTTTTAATGTTGCATAAGTCTGGATGAAGTAATTAGACTCCTAGTTATGCCCATGCAGAATACAGGCTCCCTCTTAACCAGTCACTGGTGAAGAAGTAACCAGTCACTTCTTAACTAAAGAAGCAGCATATTTTAGAAACACAAATCATTTTGACTACAATACTACTTCTTCATTTCAGAAGGTGTAAAAATATATCTCTGAGGAATTTATCTCCAGAGACTTTAGATATAATATCTTATGAGATTTTACATTCAGATGTAATGAACTTTGCAAATATTTACTGAAGATAAAACATGTTGTAAACATTTAAGATTTCTTTTACATCTGACAATCCATTCCCATTCTTGAGAGCATTGCTAGATTCTGCTAACAGTATCTTTCCTATATATGGTTTTTTTGGAAATAACCATGTGCTATAGACTGAATTGTGTCCCCCTTAATTCAGATGTTTAAGCCCTAACCTCCAATTTGATAGTATTTAAAGATGGGGCCTTAGGGGAATAATTAGATTTATTTGAAGTCATGAGTGTGAGGGTCTTCATGATGGGCTTAGTGTCTTTATAAGAAGAGACATCTGAGAGCTTTCTCCTCTTTTCCCTTTCTCTCTGCCCTCTCACTCCCACCCCATATGAGGGCACAGTGAGAAGGAGGCTATCTTCAAACTGGAAAGAGATCCCTCACAACTCTCACCAGAATCCAACCGAGTTGACACCTTGTTCTTAGAATTCCAGCTTCCATAACTGCGAGAAATAAATTTTTGTTGATTAAGTCACCTGATCTAAGGTATTTTGTTATGGCAGTGGGGGCTGACTAAGTCACCGTTGTACTAAAATTTGACAAAAAAAGTACCTAAAGAGACACCATTTTACAAATTCAACTCTGATACTTCAGTAAAAATGCATACCACTTACATTAGCCGTATAACTAAATAATTTGTTCTGAGCCCCTAGAGTACAATTTTAGCACATTGCTTTTCATAGGCCAGGGTTTCTCAACCCTAGAACTATTGACATTTTAAATGGGATAATGCTTTGTTGTAGGGGGTTATCCTGAGCATTGAACAATGTTTAATAGCATCTTGGCCTCTATCCACTAGATGCCATTAGCAACCCCTCCCAGTGCCATGGAAATTAAAAATGTCTCCAGGCTTCTTTGCCAAATGCCCTACAATGTACATTGAGAAACAAAGTTTTAAGCCATTCATAAAAATAACATTTAAACATTATGACATGTTTTCTACCAAGCTCACTTTTTATGCAATATGCAATGAGAGGTGTGAAATGTTGATTGCTGCACATATAAATTGAGCATTTCCTAAATAATACTATATTTTACCATCTGACGTTAAAAAAAAAAAAGCAAATAGTTTTAACATCTACTATTGCTCCACTGCCCTATCTTTGTTTGCTGAGATCCTGTGCAAAGGAAATAAAGTTTTGTTTTAATTATAATTAGCTATAGGATTTTGTTAGCTTCTTGTGTTAATACCAACATCATCACCTTCCAAAATCTCAACCTAGAACAGTGCATCCATCTGAACAGCCCAGTCAAGGTGCATGAAGGTGGAAGGCAGGTATGTCTCATGCCTTCAGTGGAAACTGAAGCCACATGAGATATATTTAGAAAGGAGGTTGAAAAGAATTGATTCAGAAAATGAATGAAATATGAAGATTGACTAGTGATATCAATATCTTCTGTTTGTCTTCAAACTAAAAAAAAATGTACTATCCACTAGAAATTGTGTTCAAAGTAGTGCTTATCTTCCAAAAAACACTGTTAGTTCTGTGGTCCTGCTACTTCCTGGCTTACCTAAGATGCTGACTTACATAGAGAGCCAAATCAACATTTCTCACACTGTTTAAGTGAAGAAAAGAATTCCAACTACCAAGAAATTGATTTGTGAAAGAACTCACAGAACATAATTTGCTCGTAGATTTAGAGCCTGGTATGAATGGGAAAACATGGAAGGATGACATTCTTCTCCCTCACAAAGTCATCACACTTCATTTGCAGGTTCTGTTGCTTGGGGAAACCACAGCAGTACCTGCAAAGTCAACATCATATAGACTTTGACTTTGTGATCCTTTAGGGAAAACAAGAACTTTTCACACCTTTTAGCATCTACATTGCAGAAAACAACATAATATTGTGTTTAAAACAGCATTTTTTCACAGAAAATGGGGCTTCAGAACTTTTCCCTAGCTAAATCAGTAACATCTTGGTAGAATTGGCTTCTAACTGAGATGATCTACTTTGTATGCGGTCACACTCAAAACTTGAGAACAGAAGGAAGGGAAGTAAGTTTCATTTGCATCCCTCTTGACAAACCTCTCTGAGTCTGGGTCTCCTTATCTGTTAAAAGGGAGTACATGTACTTACTTAATAGAATCAATCAAATTTTACAGTAACTAGCACATGGTAGGACTCCAATCCATTTTATTCCTTCCTCCTTCTCATCCTGTCACCCATGAGACATAATGAGCTTTTGTTTTGCTGGAAAGAATGAGAGAGAGAGAGAGAGAAACAGAAAGCAGACAGCAAACAGTAAGAAACTGTTCAGTGACTAAGAAACAAAACAGAAGACAATTGATTTACTCTTTGGCACCACTTCAAACATCTCTGTATGAAAAAAATTACAAATAATTAATTATGATTCTGAGAAATTAAGGGATTTTTTTCCTCTGTGTTAAAGTCAAATTATCTTGAAAATAATTTACTTTTTAATGCTGACAAGATTTATCATAAACAAAACCCTCTTTTCCATTGTGGCTAAGAGTATGTCTTGAAAACTATAAACTTTATAATTGATTCTTCCAATGGCCCCTGGTGATCATGGCATTCTGAAAACACTGCAACCCAAATACTTGAAACCAGAACTAAACATAAACTATGCCCTCTTCATCAGCCCAGTGATGAGGTTCCACAGCTTTCTCACTCTTTGCCTCCCACACTTGCCTTTCTTTCAAGGTTGCATAGTTGTAGAGTGGTGAGCTTTCAAAATATAAACTGTAATAAACTCTAATAATATCAAGCATGACTCATTCACCAGAAGAAGCAGAATTCAATCATTATTAATTAGTGTACTTTCGATTATCAACCTAGACATTATCTAAAGGCTAATCTCATGAATACAGTTGAAATGTTAAACAAGAATATTGATAGCATAAAGGATTTACTCACTTGTAAATCTTCACCTAGACTCTTGAGCTCATCAAGCTAGCAATATAAATTTATTTTCATCTTCATCTCTATGAAAAAAAAAATCATACCCGAGTTCCTGGAAAAGTTGGTGGTTTATATTTGCTGAAAGACTAATATTTGCTTCAATTATGAACTATATCACTATTTGTCTTATAAAGGTATTTTTGAATAGGTTGATTTTAAATAAAAATCATGTATTTTTTCAAGGACAACTTAAATATAAGCATTAAAATGGCTTTACTTGATATCTTTAGTAAGCTATAACCAGATAATCAAGGACTATAAAGGATTAATTTTTCTCTTACTTTATCAAAGAGCAGCTGTAAAAGTACAAAATCCACTGTTAAACCTGTGTTTACAGTTCTAATGGTAGATTTATAAAGTAATGTGTATAGCAACGGTTTCTCTATAATTTTTTTCTTTTCTTTTGATAGAATTAAAAATCCTCTTGCTTTTTCAAGCCTAATGTTGAAGATTCCATGGTAACTGCCTTTTTATTTGGTTTCCTTTCTTAGCCTTTGTTGTTCTTTTGCTTTGCTTTTCAGTTGGAAAAATATTTTGCTTAAAATACAGTACAGGGAAATCAACAATCCAGGCTTTAGTCTATGTAGCAACTCTTGAGGCTCCCCATCTTAAGAAAAGATAAAAGTTTTTTAAGGTTTTGAATTAGGTCACAATGCTGTAAAGAATCAAACTGCAATATTAGAGTGGGGCAGAATTTAGTGGTCAAAATGCTATATTGAATAATTCAGTGTTCCATTTGTATACACTGTTCTACATTTCTCATTTTCTCATATTTGTAACTACCATTAGTTTATAAAAATTATTTGCAGAAAAGACATTACAAGTTGTGAGAATTACCAATTATTTTTGAAGTGTAACCTACTTCAATCACTATCCATAAAGTGGAACTGAGAACACTTCCTACCTCTTCCCATTTCAAGGAATGTGGTGATTACCAAGCCTGAGTCTGTGAGGCATTTGAAGCTGTTTCCCTCAGTATAATGTAGTATGATGCTTAATCCAAAGCTAAGTTAAACATTTATTTCTTCTATTCATATTTTCTGCTTCCACTTGATATTTTAATGAATTTATTGATGCTTTTGTATAGAAAATTTCAAGTTTGAGGCCACCAATATCCCTTTACTTTCTTCAAACTGACAGAAGACATAAAGAGCTATAAAAAGGTTATATGATTAACAGGTGAGTTTTAATGATTAATGTAAATGTTTTATGTAAATTTTAAATTGTAGGATTTAAAAACCATGTTCATTGATGATTTATCATACCTCTGTGAGGAAAGTCAGAATTATAACCTTATTTTTAAAGCTACTGAATGCCATTTTGTTACCAATCATTAATAAAAACTATTACACAGGATATCAGCAAAAATTTAGGAGAACCGAACATTACCAACCAACAGGACCTAACTGACTTATTTGGAAGACTCTGTTCAACAGGATAAAAATACACATAATTTTCAAGTGTTCATAGAACATTCATGAAGATACATCTTATCTAATCAGAAAACAAATTTTAACAAATTTAAAATAATTTTATATAGAGTATATCCATCAATGATAGACTGGATTAAGAAAATGTGGCACATATACACCATGGAATACTAAGCAGCCACAAAAAAGGATGAGTTCATGTCCTTTGTAGGGACATAGATGAAGCTGGAAACCATCATTCTCAGCAAACTATGGCAAGGATAAAAAACCAAACACCGCATGTTCTCACTCATAGGTGGGAATTGGACAATGAGAACACTTGGACACAGGAAGGGGAACATCACACACCAGGGCCTGTCATAGGGTGGGGGAAGTGGGGAGGGATAGCATTAGGAGATACACCTAATGTAAATGACGAGTTAATGGGTGCAGCACACCAATAATGGCACATGTATACATATGTAACAAACCTGCACATTGTGCACAGGTACCCTAGAACTTAAAGTATAATAAAAAAAGAGAAGAATTTTCAACCCAGAATTTCATATCTAGCCAAACTAAACTTCATAAGTGAAGGAGAAATAAAATCCTTTACAGACAAGCAAATGCTGAGGGATTTTGTCACCACCAGGCCTGCCTTACAAGAGCTCCTGAAGGAAGCACTAAATATGGAAAGGAAAAAACAGTACCAGCCACTGCAAAAACATACCAAAATGTAAAGACCATCGACACTATGAAGAAACTGCATCAACTAATGGGCAAAATAATCAGCTAGCATCATAATGACAGGATCAAATTCACATATAACAGTATTAACCTTAAATGTAAATGGGCTAAATACCCCAATTAAAAGACACAGACTGGCAAATTGGATAACGAGTCAAGACCCATCAGTGTGCTGTATTCAGGAGACCCATCTCACATGCAGAGACACACATAGGCTCAAAATAAAGGCATAAAGAAAGATTTACCAAGCAAATGGAAAAAATGGAAAGCAGAAAAAAAGCAGGGGTTGCAATCCTAGTCTCTGATACAATGGACTTTAAGCCAACAAAGATGCAAAAAGGACAAAGAAGGGCATTACATAATGGTAAAGGGATCAACGCAACAAGTAGAGCTAACTATCCTAAATATATATATATATATATATATATATATATATATATATATATATACCAAATAAAGGAGAACCCAGATTCATAAGGCAAGTTCTTAGATATCTATAAAGAGGCTTAGACTCCCACACAATAATAGTAGGAGACTTTAACACCCCATTGTCAATATGAGATCAATGAGACAGAAAATTAACAAGGATATTCAGGACTTGAACTTAGCTGTAGACCAAGCAGACCTAATAGACATCTACAGAACTCTCCACCCCAAATCAACAAAATATACATTCTTCTCAGCACCACATCACACTTATTCTAAAATTGACCACATAATTGGAAGTAAAACACTTCTCAGCAAATGCAAAAGAATGGAAATCATAACAAACAGTCTCTCAGACCACGGTGCAATCAAATTAGAACTCAGGATTAAGAAACTCACTCAAAACTGCACAACTACATGAAAACTGAACAACCTGCTCCTGAATGACTATTGGGTAAATAACAAAATGAAGGCAGAAATAACTAAGTCCTTTGAAACCAATGAGAACAAAGACACAACGTACCAGAATCTCTGGGATACTGCTAAAGCGATGTTTAGAAAGAAATTTATACTACTAAATGCCCACATGAGAAAGCAGGAAAGATCTAAAACTGACACCCTAACATCACAATTAAAAGAACTAGAGAAGCAAGAGCAAACACATTCAAAAGCTAGCAGAAGACAAGAAATAACTAAGATCAGAGCAGAAATGAAGGAGATAGAGAACGAAAAACGCTTCAAAAATCAATGAATCCAGGAGGTGGTTCTTTGAAAAGATTAACAAAATGGGTAGACCACTAGCCAGACTAATAAAGAAGAAAAGAGAGAGGAATCAAAATGACACAATAAAAATGATAAAGGGGATATCAACACTGATCCCACAGAAATAAAAACTACCATCAGAGAATACTAGAAACACCTCTACGCAAATAAAATGGAAAATCTAGAAGAAATGGATAAATTCTTGGACACATACACCCTCCCAAGACTAAACCAGGAAGAAGTTGAATCTCTGAATAGACCAATAACAAGTTCTGAAATTGAGGCAGTAATTAATAGCTTAAAAACCAAAAAAAGCCCAGGATCAGACAGATTCACAGCCAAATTCTACCAGAGGTACAAAGAGGAGCTGGTACCATTCTTTCTGAAAATATTCCAAACAATACAAAAAGAGAGACTCCTCCATAACTCATTTTATGAGGCCAGTATCATCCTGATACCAAAACCTGGCAGAGACACAACAAAAAAAGAAAATTTGAGGCCAATACCCCTGATGATGATAGATGCAAATATTCTCAATAAAATACTGGCAAACTGAATCCACCAGCACATTAAAAAGCTTATCCACCATGATCAAGCTGGCTTCATCCCTGGGATGCAAGGCTGGTTCAACATACAAAAATCAATAAACATAATACATCACATAAGCAGAATCAATGACAAAAAACACATGATTATCTCAATAGATACAGAAAAAGCCTTAGACAAAATTCAACACTCCTTCATGCTAAAAACTCTCAATGAACTAGGTACTGATGGAATGTATCTCAAAATAATGAGAGCTACTTATCACAAACCCACAGCCAATATCATACTGAATGGGCAAACACTGGAAGCATTCCCTTTGAAAACTGCCCCAGGACAAGAATGCCCCCTCTCACCACTCCTATTCAATATAGTATTGGAAGTTCTGGCCACGGCAAGCAGGCAAGAGGAAGAAATAAAGGGTATTCAAATAGGAAAAGAGGAAGTCAAATTGTCTCTGCAGATGACATGATTGTATATTTAGAAAACCCCATCGTCTCAGCCTAAAACTTCTTAAGCTGATAAGCAACTTCAGCAAAGTGTCAGGATAAAAAATCAATGTGTAAAATTCACAAGCATTCCTATACACCAATAACAGACAAACAGAGAGCCAAATCATGAGTGAACTCCCATTCATAATTACTTCAAAGAGAATAAAATACCTAGGAATCCAACTTACAAGGGAGGTGAAGGACCTCTTCAAGGAGAACTACAAATCACTGCTCAAGGAAATAAGAAAGGACGCAAACAAAAGGAAAAACATTCCATGCTCATGGATAGAAAGAATCAATATCATGAAAATGGCCATACTGCCAAAGTAATTTATAGATTCAATGCTATTCCCATCAAGCTACTGTTGACTTTCTTCACAGAATTAGAAAAAAATTACTTTAAATTTCACGTGGAACCAAAAAGGAGCCCATATAGCTAAGATAGTCCTAAGCAAAAAGAACAAAGCTGGAGGCATAACGCTACCTGACTTCAAACTGTACTACAAGGCTATAGTAACCAAAACAGCATGGTACTGGTACCTAAACAGACATATAGACCAATGGAACAGAACAGAGGCCTCAGAAATAACACCGCACATCTATAACCCTCTGATCTTTGACAATCCTGATAAAAACAAGCAACGGGGAAAGGATTCCCTATTTAATAAATGGTGTTGGGAAAACTGGCTAGCCACATGCAGAAAACTGAAACTGCACCCCTTCCTTACACCTTATACAAAAATTAACTCAAGATGGATTAAAGACTTAAACATAAGACCTAAAACCATAAAAACCCTAGAAGAAAACCTAGGCAATACCACTCAGGAGATAGGCATATGCAAAGACTTCATGACTAAAACACCAAAAGCAGTGGCAACAAAAGCCAAAATTGACAAATGGGATCTAATTAACTAAAGAGCTTCTGCACACCAAAAGAAACTATCATCAGAGTGAACAGGCAACCTACAGAATGGGAGAAAATGTTTGCAATCTAGTCATCTGACAAAGCACTAATATCCAGAATCTACAAGGAACTTAAACAAACTTAAAAGAAAAAAAAAAAAAACCCCATCAAAAAGTGGGCAAAGGGTATGAACAGATACCATCTCATGCCAGTTAGAATGGCGATCATTAAAAATACAGGAAACAACAGATGCTGGTGAGGATGTGGATAAATAGGGACACTTTTACACTGTTGGTGGAAGTGTAAATTAGTTCAACTATTGTGGAAGACAGTGTGGCAATTCCTCAAGGATCTAGAACTAGAAATATCATTTGACCCAGCAATCCCATTACTGGGTATATACCCAAAGGATTATAAATCATTCTGCTATAAAGATACATGCACACGTTCTGTTACATTGGTCTATGTATCTGTTTTGGTACCAGTACCATGCCGTTTTGGTTACTGTAGACTTGTAGTATATGGCAAAGACTTGGAACCAACCCAAATGTCCATCAGTGATAGACTGGATAAAGAAAATGTGGCACATATACACCATGGAATACTATGCAGCCATAAAAAAGGATGAGTTCATGTCCTTTGTAGGGACATGGATGAAGCTGGAAACCATCATTCTCAGCATACTAACACAGGAACATAAAACCAAACACTGCATCTTCTCACTCATAAGTGGGAGTTGAACAATGAGAACACATGGACACAGGGAAGGAAACATCACACATCAGGGCCTGTCGGGGGTTGCGGGCTAGGGGAGGGATAGCATTAGGAGAAATACCTAATGTAGATGATGGGTTAATAGGTGCAGGAAGCAACCATGGCACATGTATACCCATGTAACAAACCTCCAGGTTCTGCACTTGTATCCCAGAACTTTAAGTATCATTAAAAAAATAAATAAATAAATAAATAAACCACAAACTCCCATATCTCAGTCAAGATAAAATAGATAACCTGGATAGCCCTATAATTATGAAATAAATTAACTTTGTAATTAAAAACCTCACACACAAAAAAGAGGTATCTTCAGACCCAGATTCTTTCACTGAAGATTTTTACCAAATATTTAAAAAATTAACACCTATTTCACATAACCTCTTCCAGAAGACAGGATAGGAAGAAACACTTCCAAACTCAATTTATGAAATCAGTATTACACTGATTCCAAAACTAAATGAAGACAACACACAAAAACAATGAAAATGGCTGGCCAATATCTCTCATAACCTTAGACACAAAAATTCTCAACAAAATATTAGCATCCTGAATCCAACAATATATATAAAGGCTTATACACCATAACCAAGTAGAGTTTATTCCAATTATGCAAGGCTGGTATACATCATATTAACAGGCCAAAGAAAAAAATCTTATGATCAAATCCATTGACACAAATAAAGCACTTGACAAAATGCAATATCCATTCAGGATCAAAATCATCAGTATCCTAGGAATAGAGAAGAACTTCCTTAACCTTATAAAAAGCATTTACAAGAAAACCTTTACTTTATGGTGAAAAACTGAATATTCTCCTTCCAAAATCAGGAACAAGACAAGGACATTCACTCTTGCCATTCTTATTCAACAATGTATTGGAAGTTTTAGCCATTGCAACATGGCAAGAAAAAAAAATGCCCTGCCTAGAAAGGAAAAAAAATAAAACTATCTATATTTATGGATGTTATGATTGTCTATATAGAAAACCCCAAGGAATCTACAAAAAAAAAAAACTTCCACAAACTAATAACTGATTCCAATAAAGTCACAGGAGACAAAATCAACATGAAGAAATTAATTGCATTTTTATCCATTATAAATAAACAAATTAAAACTAAAATAAAAAATGCAATACCATTTACAATTGCTCCAAAATAAAAACCTTAGGCATAAATCTAACTAAACCTGTATGGAATCTGAATAATGAAAACTATGAAATTCTTGTGAAAAAAATAAAGGAAGACTTGAATACTGGAAGGGAAAAATCATTTTTCTGGATTAGAAGTCTCAACATAATAAAGATTTCAATTCTCCACAAATTGATGTATAGGTTTAATGCAATGCCTATATAAATCTCAGTAAGGTTTTTGCAAACATAGATAAGCTTATTCCAAAATTTATATGGTAAGTGAAAGGCCCTAGAACAGTAAAAATGATTTTGAAAAAATGAACAAAAAAGCAGGAATTCTTCTTTCCAATGTTAAGACATACTATATAGCTTCAGTAATCAAGACAGAGTAGAGTGATAAACACATTTATCAATGAAACAAAATGGGAAGCCTAGAAATAGATCCACACAAATGTGTCCAGCTAATTTCTAGCAAAGGAACAAAAACAACTGTTAAACATACATAAAAAATATGAACTTCAAACTAAACCTCCCACCTTATTAAAAAATTAACTCACTGAATAATGAATGTAATTTAAAACTTAAAACTATAAAATGTCTTTAAAAATAGGAGAAAGTATTCAGGACCTACAACAACAGAAAGAGTTCTTAGACTTGACACCAAAAGCATAACCCAAAAGAGGAGGACTTGATGAATTGGACCTCATCAAAATTAAAAACCTTTTGCTCTGTGAGATTCTGTAAGGAAGGTGAAGAAAATATAGACTGGAAAAAAAATTTGCAAATCACATATCTGACAAATAATTAGAATCTAGAATATATAAAGAACTCTCAAAATTCAACATTAAAAAACAAACAGGCCAGGCGCAGTGGCTCACACCTATAATCCCAACTACTCGGGAGGGTGAGGTGGGAGGATTGCTTGAGCCCAGGAGTTTGAGGTTGCAGAGAAGTATAATCATGCCATTGTACTCCAGCCTGGGCGACAGGGTGAGACCCTGTCTCTTAAAAAATAATAATTTTAAAAATCCAACTAGAAAATAGGTAAAAGAATTACAAGACATTTCACTAAAGAGAATATACAGACAGCAAATAAGGAAATAAAAGATGCCTAACATTATTAGTCATTAGGGAAGTACAAATTAAAACCACCATGAGATATCACTATACATCTATCTAAATGGCAAAAATTAAAAAAATAGTAATAAAACCATTTTCTGGAGAGCATATGGAGAAATTAGATCACTCATACACTGCTGGTGGAAATTTAAAATGATACAATTACTGCGGAAAAGTTTGGAAATTCTTTTTGAAACTAAAAATGGAACTTACCACATCACCCAGCAGTTAAGACTCTTGGACATAAACCCCACAGAAATGAAAACTTATTTTAATGCAAAAATGTGTACACAGATATTCATAGAAGCTTTAATTATGATAGCTGAAAACTGGACACTCCCCAAATGTCATTCAATGGTGAATGGTTAAACAAACTGTGGGACATCCATCCCATGAAATACACAGCAATAAAAAGAAAAATACTACTGATAAATGCAACAACTTGGATACATATTAGGGAAATTGTATGGAAGAATAAAAGGCCAATGTCATAAAAATGCATACTGCATGATTCCATGTATATAATCTGTATGACAAAACACACATTTAGGCATGGAGAATATATTAATAATTCCTGTGGGTTAATGAGAACAAAGGAGGTGATGGGTATAGCTATAAAACGGTAGCATGAAGGAACCTTGTGGTGATGCTTAAGTATTTTGATTTTGGTTCTGTGATGATAGACATGATTAAATTGCATAGAAGTATACACATACAACACATATACATACACACAAATGACTGCATGTATACCTAGCAAAATCTGATTCAGCTGTATGGATCATACGAATGTTCATTTCCTGGTTTTGATATTGTACTAGAGTTAGGCAAGACATACATTGGGAAAGGCTAAGTGAAGAGTGCATGGAACCTACCTATAAATGTCTTTGCATCTTTCTGTGAATGTAGAATTATTTCAATGTATATTTTTTAAGTTAACGAATGAAACAAATCTGCTGGATCTATAAGATGCATACAAAGTTAAGATCAAAACTAAAACATCCAGAATATTTTACAAAAACTTAATATTTTGAAGTTGGCATATCAATTTCTCATTAATAATTGAAACAAGTAAACTAATTCAACCACATGTCTGTCTAAAGCTATAATCAATTGTATTTATCTATAATCATTTCTCCATTTATTTCTCCCTTGACTATGTTGTGAATTGTTATCATAGTTGATTTGTCTATGTTATAAATCTCTTCATTTTTTCAGAGTATTCTATAATCTTAGCCATAGGAATATTTTAATTAAGATTCAATTGTTTCAGAAAACTATGAAGCTAAATCATTTGGAGGTAACATGAAAGATTCACACTTTCTTCATTTTAGAAGCATTTTGCTGTTAATATCATTGATAACTTCAATACAGTTCGCCTTGAAATTGTAAGAAATTGTGTCTTAAAACCTTACAGTAGTAATTCAAAAGATGTGGCTATTTTGTGCATATTTTTGTTTTAAACCAGAAATGCTTAACATGACAAATTGCCACTTTTTATAATGTATTTAATATTCTTGAAAAATCACTAAAAAATTTCAGGATATGACCAAACTAAAATTTCTGATTGGAAAATGTACTCATATCCTATGGCTACTATAACAAACTTCCACAAACTTGATGGCTTAAAACAACATAAATTTATTTTTTCCCTGTTCTAGAAGCTAGAAGTCCTAAATCAATATTACTGGGACAAAGTCAAGGTATCACAGGGCTGTACTTCCTGCAGCAGCTCTAAGAGAGAATCTACTCCAGTTTCTGGTGGCTGTTGGCATTTCTTGACTTGCTGCCACATCACTCGAATCTCTGTCTCCATGGTCACATTGCCACCTTTCCCTCTGTGTATCTTTATCTACCTCTCATATAAGGTCACTTGTGAATGTATTTAGAGCCCACTCAGATAATCCAGGAAAATCTCTCTGTGTCAAGACGCTTAATTCAATCTTATCTGCAACGGTTCTTTTTCCTTTTAAGCTGTGTTCCAAGGATTTGGACCTGATATATTTGAATGGCTATTATTCAGCTTAGTACAGAAGTCTTTAGGTATACCATGGTTTTGGTTCTTCTCAACTTTTGCTTAGTGTAACATTCAATAAATACTTGCATGTAGGTGTATTGTTGTTTTTAATTGTTATTTCATTTTAGAGTAATTTAGTAGACTCTCTCGCTTATGTTTTCATAGGTCTTTTTCAACTGATCCTTTATTTTTAAAAATGGGGGTAACCAATGATGTTTAGAAATTAAAACCCATGCAACAGCGAAATGCAAATAAATTCTACAACTAAGGATACCAAATCAATTTTTTCTAGTTTAATCTATGTGCATATGAAGAAAGAAATAAAAATTAGCTAATAGTCTTGGAAAATATTCAGCCTCACTACTAATTAAAGATATGCAAATAATATTGATAAATTCCATTTTTTCTTTTTAATACTGAATAAAGCAATAAGTACTTAACCAGGTTTGACAGACCTTAACATATTGTCATATTGGCTTTAAATCTGTTTATAAAAATATACCACAGATGTAATGGAAGCCTCTTGAATGCCACCTCACTGATTTCATTCTCTCCTTTCACAGTAACTATCTGGAGTTTGGTGTATTAGCATTCCTTCACATGTTCTTTATACCCTTACTACATATTTGTGTGCTCTTTAAATCTTGACTAAGTGTATGTATTTATAAGCAATTAATATTGTTTGCATGTTTTAAAACCTTTTACATTCAAACTTACAGTTTGTGATTTTTCCGGGGTTGGATACAAATAGACTAGACCTAGTCCCATTCATTTAAACTGCTAAATCGAGTTTCCTTGTATGGCTATACCCATGTTTACTTATCCATTTTCCTTTTGATGGAAATGTTTCCAATGTTTCATTATTATACAAAATGCTTCAATGGCGATAACATTTTTCTTGTCTCAAAATGACAAGAGATTTAAAATTAAAATACTCCATGCTATGAGACTTACCGGTAGGCATGCAATTTGATACAGTATTTCTGAAAAACAATTTGGCAATATGTACCAAGAACCTTAAAAAATGTATATTCATTAATCCAGTAACCTTACTTCGAAAAATGTACTGCATGTATGTGAGTGGTTCTGTAATCAAGGCCCCCAGATGAGCAGCATAAACATAAGCAAATTCTCAAGGCCCCACCTTAAA
This sequence comes from Homo sapiens, assembly GCF_000001405.40. Taxonomy (NCBI): domain Eukaryota; kingdom Metazoa; phylum Chordata; class Mammalia; order Primates; family Hominidae; genus Homo; species Homo sapiens. Next base: position 199,082,936 of record NC_000002.12, read on the forward strand.
CTTACTCAAGCAGAAACTTTGGGGAAGGAAATAAGCAGTCTGTTTTGCCAAGCCCGGCAAATGATTCTAATGCACACAAATGTCTGAAAAACAACTGCTCTAGATAGATAATCAGAAAGACTCAAGGATATTCACTTCAGAATCATTTATATTAACAAAGGTGAGACTCACCTTCAATATCCTACAAAGGGAAATGTTGATATAAATAATGAAACAATATTTATTGTTTCATAGGGAATCATAGGGAAAAAAGAATGTAGGATGAAAATTGTAATTACATGGGAAAATGGCTTAGATATTATGCTATAAGAATAATGGCAGGATCTTCTTCTAAAAGGGGTTACTAAAAAAAAAAAAAAAGACAGAGAAAATGGCAGGATCTGAAATTGTGTATATAGCAAAATTCTAATTGTTTTAAAAGAATACATATATATATATATATATACCATCCTATTCAAAATCATTCAATGAAAAAAGAATATCACATATATGTACACATACATAGTTTGAATTAATATATTTACATTTAGTTAATATACCACTCATTTATGCTGTCATTTATTACCTTACTAATTATACTTATTAGCTATGAGAATTTTTTTCATAGTTAATTTAAAATAAACATAAATAAAAAGCATAAAATGCTTATGTTTTTATAATATAAACAATTGTTACTAAACTTTTTAAAATCCAAATACCATGATGCTTTAATATGCAAATATCTTCTCAACAAGGATAAATTAAAGAAAGATGTTGTCTTATGCAATAATTAGCTTAACATTGATAGACGTTATCTAGATATAACCCTTAACTATAACATGTATTCACACATATTCTAAAGTCTATTAATAGAAATATAGGGAATGTTAAAACTGGATGGTGTGATATCCAGTGAAATAAAGATGTAAATTCTATGTCAATAAAACTTGCAAATTTAAAAGAAAGAGCTTTAAATTCTTTGGCAGTTGAATTTCTATGTAAAGTTGCTAGTATTCTCTATGGCTGTCAAATGGATCATCATAACGTCAAGGTTCGTTTATATAATTTAAATGTTATTTATTCTGTTACACATAATATCCCCATTGATTTCAAAAAATATTATTTTGCTCACATCTGATGTACATATCATGATCAAAATTTAATTTGAATTTTCCTGAACTGGAGAATAGATTTTGTCTGAGTGCTATAGCACTTACATTCAATTTTAACTTGTAATTATCAATATGTTTCTATTACATTCAGAGAATAATAAGGAATATGCCTGCAGCAAGTTTAATACCTTTAAATTCCTATAGATCAAAATGAAAGAACATTTCCCAGCATGCTTCATATTTCAAAGGTTGAGGGCTGTTAACATTGTACTTTTATTAAAATTTCTATTAATTTTTTTGCTGTCAATCTGAATATAAATTTACTTTATCATTTTCTATAGAATAAAAAATATAGAAAAATTACTTTATTACCAACTACTTATCTAGCCAAAAAAATGGAAAAAGAAATGTAGAAAAAGAAAAAGTCAACTATATCATAGCCTAAGAATGGCCAATGTATAAACACATTTTAATATTTGAATGACACAAATACACATTCATGTAGTCATTTGTCCAACAGATACTTAGTATTGCACTTCTACTGTGTGCCAATAATTGTGCTAGGCACTGAGGATACAATAATGAGCTAGACAATTAAGTTCCTGTTCTCAGGAAGCGTTCATTTTAGTGGGAGTGATAGACTATAAACAGTTCAAATAGTGATAAAATGTGATAAGAAAAAGAAGAGTTTAACATCTAAAAAAGACATCAGAATTAAATATGAAAAGTGGAGAGGAACATTTCAAGAATAAAGACTGTACAAAGACCCTAAGGTAAGAAGTTGCTGATAAGAAGTACTTCAAGAAGAGAGAGGAAGTTAGAGTGTCCAGGGATTTGTGAGCAAAAGAGAACAAGCTACACTGTAATCCCAGCACTCTGGGAGGCCAAGGCGGACGGATCACCTGAGGTCAGGAGTTCAAGACCAGCCTGGCCAACATGGCAAAATCCCATCTCTATTAAAAATATAAAAAATTAGCCAGGTGTGGTGGTGGGCACCTGTGATCCCAGCTACTCGGGAACATGAGACAGGAGAATCGCTTGAATCAGGAGGCGGAGGTTGCAGTGAGCCAAGATTGCACCATTGCACTCCAGCCTGGGTGACAAGAGTGAGACTCCACCTCAAAAAAAAAAAAAAAAAAGAGAGAGAGAGAGAAAACAAGATACAATATGAGGCTATGGTAAAGGCAGGGACCAGGGACCAGCATACCAGATTAGTCAGTTCTCTCTAAATCATAACAGAATATTTAACATACCCTAGGAGCAATGGAAGGTCACTGGTGTGTCAAAAGCTTTCCCTGGCTAATAATAAGGATGAAAAGATGGTGAGAGCACAGAAGTGTTGCCAGAAGTCACACAAGAGGTATGGGACGTGGAATGAGGTAATGCATTTAAGATGAAGAGACACAGAGGTGTTCACAGTCTGTGTGGGGATCTGTGTTGGAAACAGAGCTTGGTTATAAATTAGATGGAGAATAGGGTTGGGCTGTGGGTGTGACCGGTGCAAAACTGACCCTCAGTTGACTCATTTGGAAATAGCAGAGTTGTGGTTTACTGACATGGAAGCACTGGATTGGCACAGACTTATCGTGTGCAACATCGGCCACATTAACTTGGAAATGCCTGTAAAACATACGAGGGAAAATATCACAAACATAATCTGTGGCTCAAAGGGGAGGTCTGGGCTAAAAATCCAAATATATTTTTTTAATTTTATCTTTCACTTTAAATAAAATGTTAATGCATGACCATTGGGGAAAAAAGCATTAAAAACGACCATAGAGTTCTTTCTCTACATGTGTACACACAATTATTATTTACAAAAAAAAAAGAATTATATTATTTTTAATCTGATTTTTAACATTTTGAGCACAGTTTCTTCAGGTAAATATAGATTCCTTCTGTGATATGTAACTTTACTGAGCATATAATATCGCTTAATATATCTATACTGTAAATTATTAACCCTGTTCTTAGTTTAATATATGTAGATGGTTTCTAATATTTTGCTACAATAAAGAGCATTACAATTAACACTCTTATATGTCTTTGTGTAATCACTTAGCAAAATTCATAATTCATAAGAAATACTATACAACATGTGTGCTTAATGTATATAGACAGGATGAAATTAATGTATCACTTGTAACTAAGAAGTGAGAAATAATGTAGTGTTTTCTTTGCAAACTATAATGAAAAATTTTGCTTGCGATCTTAGATGTTTTAAAGCTGCTTGTGGGAATACATATTTCATTTTCTATTAGGAATCAATTAGGTGTGAAAATTTCTCAGTTCAATGGAGGATATGGCCACTACAAAATAAGAAAAAAAAATTATTACATTAGAATTTCTAACTTCCTTCCCTTTTCACCCACCCTAGAAGCCCTCTCAAGAATGTCAAGAGAATCTCATGCCTGTAATCCCAGTGCTTTGGGAGGCCAAGGCAGGAAGATCACTGGAGGCCAGGAGTTCGAGACCAGCCTGGGCAACATAGTGAGACTCTGTCTGTACAAAATAATTTTTTTCAAATTAGCCAGGTATATGGTATTACACATTTGTAGTCCCAACTACTTGGGAAGGTGAGGTGGGAGATCTGCTTCACTTGAACCCAGGAGTTCAAGGTTACAGTGAGCTATGACTGTGCCACTACATTCTGGCAGAAAGAGATACTGTCTCAAAAGAAAAAAAAGAAAAAAACAAAAAACAGTGTCAAGAGTTTTAAACATCCCTAATGAAGGATAATCATCTTTTGCTTCTGGAAACCTGGCTTGCTTGTGTCTCCATCCACATATCTGTCTTTATCTCTCTCTAATCTCAGTTTGCCTGAGTCATACCACCATTTATAGTATAGGCTAGCACCTTTTCCTAAAATCAAGAGCAAAAGAGAATCATTTTTCTAAGACCAGATTTTTGAAACCAGCATCCAGGCCTGCACCCCAGGAAATACAGGAGTATCTGATGAAAGCCATTCCATTCAGAGGAGGATGCTCCTCCTTCTTTATGCTTTTTTCCAAAATACTTCAAAAACAACCACCACAAAAAGACATGTGGCCAATCTGTCTCCTTTGAGAGTCCACTCGCTGAGCTTGGAGGGGTGCTTCCTGTTCTTAGTCACAGATATTATCTAGATATTTCTAATGCCCCTTCCTTCCCCCCGTCCCACCTGCAAACTGGAATTGAAGAAAGAAGTGTCTCAAAAACATTAAATCCTCTCTTGCCTGGCGAGATATCTTTATTCCTGAGTAACTCCTCCAAATAACACCCCTGAGTCTCTGAAAATGTAAAAATTGCCTGTCTAGTTGAGGCAAATGAAGGCTAAATTGAGTCATAATTTCCCTCTAGATTCTCATTCACCTCTAGCTGTAGGAAGCATCACCAATACAGAATTGATGAAAAGTGTATAAACATATTATCCAGATTCTCAGGCTGTCACAGGGAGCATTTTTTGTTGTTGTTCTTGATTTTAATGTAAGCAAAGCTGAGCAGTGGGAGTGTTCAGGTTTTAGAAGAGATTTTTCTTTCTGAAAGATAATATTTCTCATTCTGAATGATTTTCTTCTTTTTCTTTTAAATTCCAAGGCAAATTCTGAAATCTGTTTCGACTTGACTTATTTTTGGATCCTCACCTGTATCTTAATTACGTAGCAAGAAGTAAGCACAATTGATGAGCAATCCATGTCCCTAATCTTTGATTTGTTATGAATTGTCTTTGAACTGCTTAAGATAGCCACAACTGTGTTTTGGTAGCAAAGTACTCCAAACTCTCTGCTCCCTAATACAAGTTAACAGTGGTCGACACTCAGGGATTCTGGCAGATAGAGCAGCCACCATTTCAGATGTTGCCAGTTGACACACGGAAGAAAAGGAGATTGCTGCAGGGTTTCACAAGGGCAATTCAATGCTCTGGCCCAGAAGTGACATGCTCAAGTCACTTTCGGTCACATCTCATTGGCTGGAGCTAAACAGATGGCCCCACACCACCAAAAAGAGGCCAGGAATTACATCCTAATTTGTCTTGTAAAGCAAAAAGCCAGAAAAATACGAGAAGTGGCAATAGGGACCATCCCGGACCCCTAAAAGAAAGTTCTCTAATTAAAAATAATTTTTTTCTTTGAAAAATTGTGTAGGGAAAATTGAGTAAAGCTTACTGGATAGCAAAATATAGAAAAGCTCACATTTTTCAGTTCCTTGTTAAGAGTCTGGCTATAGAAGTAATATTCCACCAGCTGCATGTACCATTTCTTTGTAAATAACAACAATAAGAATAACAGAGGTGATTACTCTCTTATCTCCAAAAGCACATACTTTGGGACTTCTGTCATTTATACATTACCTTTGTCCAAAAAACTTTGAGGTAGTTTACAAAGATACATAAAGCAAAACAGCATAAGAAAAAAACATAAGTCAGGAGAAAGGGGAAGGAAAAACAAGGAGTTAAAAGACAACGCTAAAACAAAATTAGAATCCAGTATCTGTGACAGGAGATCTGGTATACTTTTCTAGAAGTCAGTGATAAATTTGGCTCTGAACATTCCACGAACCATGCAAAAAAAGAAATACAATCAGTGGTATGATACATAGTATCTACAAGATAAAAGCAAATTGTGTTATGAGAAGTAGCACAGTGATATCAGCCCTTGGGTGCCCATGAATAGGGCATGTTTAACATAGGAAGCAAATGCAGAAAGCACATCTACACTAAGCATAACCCTCTAAGGCTGAATCTTATATCCTTTACTACACCCTCACAGCCACACAACACATTTTGGTATTATTTTAGGTTTACTGATAATTATTATGATGGCTTAGCTGTGTTTGTCAATATCCTACATCTTTAAAATCATCTAGAATTTGAATGGAGCAAAGAAATAAGGTTTCTGTCTCACATATAACATTTGTATAAACCACAGCACACAGAGGAACATAAAGGCTACTGAATGTGGCCTTTAATTGTTTGTTTACTTCACACAGCACTGTTTTTGAACTTGAATTTGAACGTTTTTAGGCCTAGAATTTATTCTCCAGTTTGGCCATAATTTCTCAGCACTTCCTACTGTGGTCCAATTTATGTTCTCCATGTAGCCCCTGTAGGAATTTGAGTTTGAAACCCTTGGTACATGACTCAATAAAATAAAAGTTTCATAAATTCAGTGTCTGTTCCCTCTGTACTAGCTGCTTTGAGGAAATATAAAACAAAAAATAACTATACTCATATTTCTCAAACAGCTGAGTCTGTTGGGGAAGATAATAGCAAAACATTTAAGAACATATAGTACTAAAATGACAGTAACTATAGTATATATTTTATGGCTTTTTATGTCTTAGCAAGCTATTTTGCATTCATCACTGCAGCAGGTTCTTTCAGGAGCCCCATGAAATAATCAAAACAGAGATTATAGTTCCCATTTTTCAGATAAAAAAACTGAGATACAAAAATGTAAGTTGCCTGACCTTAAGGCACAAGGTAAGTCACAGGTAGCATAAGCTTCATGGAAGACTGTTTTCCACAGTTTTACATCCTACACAGCACCACATAGAGTTGACTTTTGATAAACATTTCCAAATTAATAAGCAAAAGAACCTCTGTATCAACATATATATTGACTCATAAACATGGGCAGTAAAAGAAGCTTATAGTTCAGAACAATCAGAAGCCACATGGTCTATATCATACCCAATGTTTTTGGGATATGTAAAAGCCAGACACAAATTATGACCCCAAGATACTTGTAATATGTAGAAAACATTAATAAATGAAATATATGTGTAAATATGATACAATAAATTGTAAATATGAAAGGGACAAGTGATTACTCTTAATGCTTAGAAAATCAATGGATTTACTCAGAGGAAAGTATCCCAGAGTTTGTGAATTTTAAAAAGAAACAAGTTTACAAGTTCATTTATTGCAATATTATATATGCAATACGAAAATATTGGAAACTACCCTAATGCCCATAAATAGAAGCTACTTGAAAAAACTATGGTGCCTCTTCACAATGGGATATTATTCAATGCCATAAAATAATAATGAAAAGGACTATGCTAATATAGGTTATGTTTAGGCTGATTGCAAAGTGAAAACAGTCAAAGTGTAGAAAAATATATGTGTGAGCAAGCATATGTATATATATCTTATGTGTATATATATGTACATGCATACATGTACGTATATATATGTGTTTATATACACACATACATATATAGTATGTGCAATGAGATACGAATACACTCCTATTATATACACATATTATATATAACACATATTATATATATGCGTGGGAGATAGATATGCACACACACATTTAATTTCATTTGTAAAAAAAATGAAAAAGATGAGAAAGAAACACTGGCAGTATAAACTAAAAACTAATAAAAACGGTAGGCTCTGGTGTACGTAACGTGGCAAAAAGGGATGAAAGTGAGACTTTTATGAATACACTTTGTTACAAAGTTTTGACTTTGGAATTGTACAAATGACTTATACATCTAAAAAAATGTTAAAATATTCAAAAGCAACCTCTAAAAGTCAAAAACAATTTGAAATAAATGAACCTAATTGTATACCAAACTTGTGACACAAGCATAGAAAGATTCATTTCAAGTGATCCTAGCAGAAAGCACAAGGCTTTGACTGCATAACCTTTGTAGTTTATATTCTAAGAGCAAATAGAGCAGCACAGTATATTGTCATCACAGTGACAGAAAATCTAACTTGTCTTAGAAAACCCATTTGGTCTTGGCAACAATGGCACAGGTGGAGAAGAAAGTAGCTGAGCTTAGCAAATAAGGGCATTTTTTGACATTACAGTTGCCGGAGCAAAAGTGTGAGATAATGAAACCTACATGAACAAATACATGTTGGCATTTCTCTCAACAAGACTGTGTAAAGATCACCATATGCAACCGTCAAAGAGGTAACTAGTACCCATTTCTTTGATTTATTTAGAATATCACTTAAAATGAGACTATTTTACAAATAATTTAAGGAGGTTGAAGAAACTGGACTTACAGCACAATTTTTATAAGCCTAAGGGTGACTCAAATATTATTTGCTAGATGTTAACCTGTTCGTCTTTATTGAGCAGGGGGAAACAGATCATAGTGAAAGCAAAAGGAAATTAGATCAGACCAAAGAATATCTTTGAAAAACCAAAGATTAAACACCGGAATAGGAAGACTATGGAATTAATTTGCAAAACAATATATTCATTTCCCTGGACTTGAAGCTACAGTGAAACCCAACAAGATATGCTGAAACATAAAATTTCTTTAGATAAAATATCCATGATGGGGTGGGAAGAGATGTTAGCATTTACCAAATATAGACTAATGTTGAGCTTTGAACCAAAAGCAATTTGTGCTTCTCAAGTTATTTTAGTTATTTTTGTGATGGCATTATTTGATTTACAGTTAGCAATATATACTGCTTATTTGTGAATAGAATCGTCTTGGTCCATATTGTGCTACTATAACAGAATATCACAGACCGGTTAATTTATAATGAAGAGAAAGTTCTGCAGGCTGGGGAGTCCACGGTGAGCAGTTTCTTCCTGCATCATGCCATGATGAAAGGCAGATGGGCAAGAGATGGCGAGAGAAAGAAAAACAGGCAAAAAGAGGCCAAACTCATTCTTTTAAAAGGAACTCACTCCCATGATAATGAACCCATACCTGTGATAATGGCATTATCCATTTAGAGCTCTTATGGCCTAACCACTTTTTAAGGTCTCACTTCTTAATATTGTTACAATGGTATTTAAATTTCAACATGAGTTTGGGAGGGAACAAGCATTCAAATTGTAACATTCTGCCCCAGGCACCCAAAACTCATGTTCTTCTCACATACAAAATACATTCATTCCATCCCAATAGCTCCAAAAGTGTTAACTTATTCCAGCATCAAGAGTCCAAAGTCTCATCTCTCAAATATGGGTGAGACTCAAGGCACAATTCATCTTGAGGCAAATTCCCTCCAGCTTTGAGCCTCTGAATTCAAAACAAATTATCTACTTCCAAAATACACTGGTGCAACAGGGATAGATTCCCATTCCAAAAGGGAGAAATAGGCAAGAAGAAAGGGGCAACTTCTTCCAAGTAAGTTCAAAACCCAACAGGGCAAACAATATTAAATCTTAAGACTCTCGAATAATCTTCCTTGACATCATGTCCCACACTTTGGACACATTGGGGTGAGGGTTGGGCCCCCAAGGCCTTGGACAACACCACCCTCATGACTTTACTGGACTTAGCCCACATAACAGCTATCACAAGTTGGAGTCTTGTGCCTATAGCTCTCCCAGGCTGGGGCTGCATGTTTATGGCTCTGTAGTTCTGGGGTCCCAGGGCAATCTATCCCTGTGGCTCCACTAGGCATTGCCCTAACGTGACTCTCTCTGGCAGCTCTGCCTCTGCAGCAGGTTTTGGCATGGGCCACCTAGCTGGTCAATAACTTCTTAGAAATCTAGATGTAGGTAGCCATTCCTCCACAGCTCACAAATGCTGTGCGCCTGCAGAATTAACACTATGTGGGCACTGCCAAGGTTTACAGCTTGTGCCCTCTGGAGCAGCAACCTGAGCTGCACTCAAGGCCACTTGAGCCACAGCTGGGGCCACAGCCAGGGAACATTGCACTGGAATGCAGGGAGCAGAGTCCCAAGGTGGCCCTGGGCAGTGAGCCCATGGAGAGCACCCTGGGCCCTTCTCCCTTCCTATAGCTCTGGGCCTGCGATGGGAGGTGCAGCCTCAAAGACCTCTGAAATGCCTTCAGAATCAATCTCCCATTGTCTTGATAAATAGCACCTGGCTTTCTTCTACCCATGCTAATCTCCTTATCAATTTCTCTCTTTTATGGTTTTACTGTATGCAGTTAAAATAATCCACATAGCTCCTTCAATATTTTGCTTAGGCATTTTTTCTGCCAGATATTCTAGTTCACTGCTCTTAAATTCTGCCTTCCATAGAGCCGTAAGACATGGACACAATTCAGCCAAGATCTTTGCAACTTCATAACAAGAACAATCTTCATTCCAATTTTTAATATTTCTCATTTCCATCAGAGACCTCATCAGACTTGCTTTTACCATCTAAATTTCTACCAATATTCTGATAAAAACCTCTTAAGTAATCTCTAAAAAGTTTTATACTTTCCCTGAAGTTCTTTTCTTCTTCTGAGCCCTCACTAGGATTGTCCTTAACTCTTTATTTACAGAAATACTGGCTTTTTCTAGCCTGCTTCTCCAACCTCTTTCAGCCTCTGCCCACTACCCAGTTCCAAAGCCACTTTCACATTTTCAAGTATTTGTTACAGCAACACCCCACTTCTGCAGTACCAATTTCCTGTCTTAGTTTATTTTGTATTGCTATAACAGAATATCACAAATGGTAATTTGCAATGAACAGGAATTTATTGGCTTATAGTTTTGGAGGCTGAAAAGTTCAAGATCAAAGAGCTGACATCTTGTTGCATAATCTTGTTGCCATCTTGTTGCATAATCTCATAGCAGAAAAGCAAGAGGGGGAAAGAGAGAGAGACAAAGAGGAGGCCAACTTACCCTTTATAAGGAACCACTACTGTGGTAACAAACCCACTCCACAAAAATGGCATAATCCATTCATGAGAGCAGAGCCTTTACGGCCTAATCATCTCTTACACGTCCCACCTCTTAATACTGTTACAATGGCAATTATATTTCAATTCCAATGAGTTTGGGAAAGAACAAATGTTAAAACCATAGCAAGGATTAAATATGCTATTATAAAATTATAGAGTTTAAAGAGTGTGAATCTTTTCAGCAAATAGTGCTAGAACAATTGGATATCCCAAAAATTGTAAATGCAAAAGAATGAATCTAGACACAGACCTTACACTCACCACAAAAATTAGATCACATACTTAAGTAATATGTAAAACTATAAAATTCCTAGAAGATAACATGGGAGAGAATCTAGATGACCTTGAGTTTGGCGATAATCTTTTAGATATAACACCAAAGGCACAATCCATGAATGAAAAATTCATAAGCTATGGTTCATTAAAATTAAAAAGCTCTGCCCTGCAAAAGATGCAGTCAGGAGAATGAAAAGACAAGCCACAGACTGGGAGAAAATATTTGCAAAAGACATATCTGATAAAGTACTGTTATCCAAAATATGCAAAGAATTCTTAAAACTCAACAATAAGAAAACAAACAACCAATTAAAAAATGGGCCAAAGATCTTAACAGATATCTCACCAAAGAAGGTATACAGATGGCAAATAAGCATATGAAAAGATGTTCCATATAATATATCATCAGGGAAATGCAAGTAAAAATAGCAATGAAAACACCTATTAGAATGGCCAAAATCCAGAACACTGGCAACACCAAATGCTGACAATGATGTGGAGCTACAGAAAGTCTAATCATTGCTCATATAAATGCAAACAGCTACTTTGGAAAACACTTCGGTTATTACCAAACTAAGCATACTCTTACCATATGATCCAGCAGTCAGGCTCCTTGGTAATTTACTCAGAGTTTAAACTTATTCTAAGAGTTGAAAACCTATGTTCACACAAAAAACTGTACACAGATGTGTATGGGAGCTTTCTTCATAATTGTCAAAACTTGGAAGCAACCTAGATGTCCTTCAGTAGGTAAATGGATAAACTGTGGTGTATGCAGACAATGGAATATTATTCAACACTAAAAAGAATTGAGCTATCAATCCATGAAAAGACATAAATGCATATTACTAAGTGAAAGAAATGAATCTGAAAAGGCTGCATACTGTGTTTCCAACTATATGATATTCTGGAAGAGTTTAAGGAGATGGTAAAAAGATCCGTAGTTGCTAGGGGTTAGGAAAGAAGAAAGGATGAATGGGAGGAGCACAGAGGATTTTTAGGGCAGTGAAACTACTCCGTATGATATGATAATGGTAGATACATGTCACTATACATTTGTCTAAACCAATAAAACACCAAGAGTGAACCCTAATGTAAACTATGGTCTTTGGTTGATAATGATGTGTCATGTAGGTTCATCAATTGTAAAAAAATGTACAACATTCCCCCTCTGGTAGAGAAAATTGATAATGGGGGAGGCTAAATATGTGTGGGGGCAGGAGTATATGGGAAATTTCTATACCTTTCATTAATTTTTTGTGAATCTAAAACTGCTCTAAAAATTAAAGTCTGTTTTAAAAAGATAAAAACATGTTTGATTCTTTTAATAATAATTCAAAATGACTAATCACTCATTAAACCTAAACATGTTTTCATTGGAAATTTAAAATTTGCCTAATGCATTATTCCACTGTGTTCACTGTTAAGGGAGAAACAGAAATATATACTATATAGATATTTTACAGGATAATAAGCCATTCTAAGACAACATCTTTATTCTCGCCTATTCTAGCAGGTTTTGTGTGTGAGAGAGTTCAAAGCCTGAGGGACAAAAAGAACCCATAAAATTCAGCTATTTAAAGAGAAGTCATGTGGATGAAATCCAAAGAAAGCTCTTCTTTTGCTAATATAACTAGGAATATGGGTCTCTATCTTGATATGATAGATAAGGCAAAGGAAAAGAGTCATGTCAGGAAACTGAATGAATCATTTAAGAAATATTTACCAATAATTCAATTTTGATTTTCAGTGTGGCTTCATTATTATAGACATGGTATTAAGTAGCCAACAGGAATAGGGATTTTCACACATATTTATTTAATTTATACTGAATTGCCAAAGTCTACTTTTGTCCCTTAGTCCCTCTAAAGAGAAATGTTCTTTTTTTAATCTTGCCCTGTATGTTTGAAAAACCTTAAATAAATATCTGGATTTTTTTTTTAATTACAAGATTGCAAATAGGCAAACATCACAAAGTTGCATTTCATTTAGGGTTTTGTGTAGTAAATCTTAAAGTGGCACAGGGTTTCTAGGGCTGCTGTCTAGCCTTAAAATAAATCAAATTGAAGATCACACATAAACAAATATGTTTATGCCATTTCCAGCACATTAAATTTTTCTTATTCTTGTAACAGGATCAGAAAGTAGCATTTTCAACAAACCCTCTGATTTGTTGACTAAATTTTCTTTAGAAAATGTGAAGTTATTAGAGATCAATGTTAAATCAAGACCTAGTGGTTTTTGTTGAAATTTTAGATACATGTCTAAACTAAATCCCAGTTAAGCTGACCTTCTTTACTAATCCTTCACTGAATTAATCTCCTTAAATTCTTGCTTCTTTTACCTGTGTAATCTCTATCCAAGGACTCTACACAATGACAAATGGCTAAAGATATGTTTTCCTGAATGAAATAGTATTTTTACCAGTGAATCTAAACGCCTGCTGTGAAATATTATTTTAAAAATCCATGTTAATATTATATTCAAGTCACAGAGAGAGTTTAATAGCTACAACAGAGATAAGTCAAAAAAGGCAGATAAAATTCGCTTGATAAAGTATCACAAAGTTACACAAGGAAAGAGACAAAATAAAATAAATTCCCCTAATGTACCGCAAATATCAACTACCACACACTACCTACAAGCCATATGTTTTTTCCATCTGTTCTGTTATCGTCAACTAAATTTATAGTATTTGGGCTATCAGAAGGATTGTCAAACATGAGCTGGGCATGATTTTAAAACCTAGGTGTTACTGTTAGTTGTTTTTTTCTTTTCTTTGTATTTTTTTTTTCAAAGAAACTACCCACTTCTATGCCCATCCCACCACTGATAATATTTTGGGGGCTTAAATTAAGATCCCACCAATATTTCTGAGGAATGTTAGTCCTCAGGAAGTTTAGGTTAGTCCTAGAGCTACAGATTACCTACTGCTTTCCATGCATCAAGTGATGGCTACTAAACAGAGAAGCCAGAATTTCTGGAGTTGTAAGTATGATTCTTCCAAAGGCACAAGTGCTGGGTTTGTGGCTTTTAATTGGTAGATTATGGTATGTGACAGGCAGAATTCTAAGATGACCCCCAATGACCGAACGCCTTACATAAGCCCCTCCCCTTGAGTGGGAGAGGAGCCCACTGATTGCTTCTAGCTGATAGAATATGGCAATGGGGTTGAATAGTCACTCCCTTGGTTAGGCTATGTTATATGACAAAGGTGATGGGTAGTCACTCCTGTGATTACATTACATTATATAAGACTCCACTTTAGCAGCCTGGAGGAAGAGATTTCTCTGCTGGTTTTGAAAAAGTAAGTTGCCATATTGTGAGGGAAGACAATGGGTAGGCTGTGTAGCAAGAAATTGCAGGGCCTTCTGGGAGCTAAGAGAAGCTCCGAGTCAGCAAGGCAGCAGGAGCCTTAGCTCTACCACCACAAGGACCCGAATTCTGCTGACACATGAGTTGGAAGGCAGCCCCAAGCTCCTGAAAGGATCACAGTGTTGCTAACACTTTGATTGCAGCCTCTGAGACCCTGAGCCTAGGACCCAGTTAAGCTCTGCCTGGACTCCTGTCTAATGGAAACTGTGGGATAATGTGTACATCATTTAAAATGGCTAAATGGTAGGTGATTTTTAAATAGCAATAGAAAATTAATACAGATGGTCCTCAACTTACAATGGGATTACATCCCAATAAACCCAATGAAAATTGAAAATATTGTAAGTAAAAAATGCATTTAATACACCTAACCTACTGAACATCATAGCTTAGCCTACTTTAAATGTGCTCAGAACACTTTCATTAGCCTAAAGTTGGTCAAAATCATTCAACACAGCCTATTTTATAGCAAAGTTTTTAATATCTCATGTAATTGATTGAATACTGCACTATAAGTGGAAAACAATGGTTGCATGAGTACTTCAAGTATAGTTTATACTGAATGGATGTAACTTTCACATCATTGTAAAGTCAAAAAATTCTCAATCAAGCTATCATAAGTCAGGAAACGTCTGCACACTGCATGTAAGAAGAATTCCAATGGCTTTTTAAATGTAGGTGAAGCCAGGCATCTTTGAGGAGCCAGGGGTTCCAAGATTAGTCCTAATGGGAAGTCAATGAACGGGACAAAGTACATTCTTAAATTATAACAAGGAAATCCAAAAATACTGGATAGATTGTATAGATCCAATCTATCTCTGTGATAGCAAACATTCACTCCCTGCCCCCTATTAAACAAATTACTTTTCCCTACCCCATTGGATACTATGTTCAGCTATATGACCTGCTTTAGCAAAGGGAATATGGGTGGAAGTTACAGTGTTCCAGCCCTTAATGGGCATGGACCCACTAAGCTTTCTGTCAGCCTTTACCTTGAGAAAAACTTGTCCCAGATATCAACTGCTCCTAGGTTCCCAAATTAGATATACGGAGCACAGCTATCCCATCTGTCTCCTTGACCCAAGCCTAAAACAGAGCCACCCCAGCGAACCTGTAATTATGAGAATAAAAACTTACCGTTGTATGCCACTGAGATTCTATGGTTGTTTGTTACACACATACTATTTCTTTGAATTCACAAAATACTATTTGATACAAGTTTCTTTAGAAATCCTATTGAGTTAGGATGCAATGTAAATGTAAATGTTCCAAATACCCCAAAATACTATATAATATAAGATCAAAGACAAAAAATCAGATCCATTTTATTCTGAGCTCTAAAGGAAAGCAGAAAGTGACTATTAAACCACTCAGAGGAGTTTAGTTAAAAACTCTACTTCGCTCCTTAATAAGTCAAGTCAGGGAATTTACCATAATAATAAAGACAACATTTGACAATACATTTCTAAATCATCATGACCTCAAAATGTTTGTGGAAAACATTTAAGCTCTAATATCAATCAGAAGTATTTGAAACATGAACAAAAATAAATTTTACTCACTTTAAATTTCAAAGGAAAGATACTACTTGAATGCACCACATGAAGAAGTTGTTAAAATTATGGCATATGTACAAAATGAAATATATTTAAGGTAAAATGCTCTGGGGTAGATATATTTTTAATGTATCCTCAATCCAGATTCATGTATAAACTCTTTTCTCAAAACGCGCAAAAACATAAACACACATACACACTCAGAGTACTCCTAATTGGGAAAAGGAGTAAAAGCACTCTAAAATCAAAGTATGCCACTAAACTCGGGCTGCTTTCAGATTCAGGTGCAAAAATGTGCCTTGAAATACTTCCAGGACCAACATCATCACACAATTACATGCAGTTGAATATATGAAAGATATTTACATCATAACAACATATCATACCAATAATGGATGGACTTACATTACTAAACAAATTGGCGAACAACTTCACAACCTGAATCAAATTACCTTTTAAAATTACTAAAAAGAAGTATGATGTGTGCATATGTCTGTGCGTGAATAATGTATGTATCTCCTTTGAGTCTGTGATCCATGCCTAAAAGAATCCTAGAGGAGAAATGCATTTAACACTTGCTTTTATTACACTGAACAATGAGAAAGAAGTGAGTTAGAGAAGCTGAAGATCTGATGAGCTGTAGATAGGGAATAAATTCTATGGAATAAAAATGTCTTCCCCACATTTTCGTTTTTATCAACTGTTTTCAAAAAAATAATTTGTAAATGTAGGAAACGTTTGTAAAATGCTAAAATAATTATAAGCTTGGAAAAAATCAACAGTTAACTTTCCCATCCTATGATAAATCACAATTTAAACAAAAACGACTCAAAGAACTATTTTGTAAGAATAAGTGATAAAGTCTAAGAATTTTATCTTATGGTAATCTTTAGGTAATAAGGGTCTCCCCTGAACCTCTAAGGCTCTCTGAACTAACATCTGCAAAGTTAACTATAATAAATATATTAAAGAGACAGCCTAGAACCCAGTGCTGTGTTAAGTTCCTTCTTCTGAAGGATGCTGTATCTATAACTAGTTCTGTTTCATTTGTTTACAGCATATAGATAATGTTCCAGGATATATTAATCTTCACATTTTTTTCCAATTATCGCTTCAGAACAAAGGATATTTATTAATAGATTTTAAAATATATATATAGTGGGATTTAGCCAATGCAATGGGATAAGTAAGCTTTTGTGCCCTTACTCATTTCCTTAAAGAAAGCAATGATCTGGATATATTCAATTATTGTTTCTTAAACTGTTACATTTCTTTCCTTATAATTTTCTCAGAAAAGAATATTTCTTTACCTAACTGCAGGAGTATGATAACCTAGCACACACAAATGAATTCTGTTTTTCTAAACCTGTAACTACATTTGTTTTACATTGCATTTCTTTGATACAATACCCCCATTTTCATTTTCCTCTGAACATTCTAGAAATGACATGTGTAGTTGTATGCATATATATAATTTTATAATAGATATGCCTATGGACCTGTGTGTATGTGTGTGTGTGCGCACATGCAAGCATGTATCTTGAAAAGAATTTCTAAATCTCCCTTCTTGGTATAAACCACTGATATGCATGGTTTGGTTAAATTACCCCTGCCAGGTTTATTATCGACTCTTTTTCCCTGCTGCTAGCATGTGTAATTGTATGGTTTTAAAAACTTGAATGACTCACCATAAAGCAAGCTGAAAAAATAAGGGACAGATGTGTTTCTATGTATTTTTTGAGGGTTGCTAGGATAAGAACCCTTTCAGTTTATTTCGGAATCTCATCTCAGAGGTAGCTTTTGCCTCCCTACCGTACCTCTCCTACCCAATTCTTACCCCTCAATCACCAGAAGGATGGAATGCACACACTATAAATGCCACCCACCAACTTGAATGAGGGAGCAAACAATAATACAATGGCCACCCATCAGCAAGAGAAATGATTACTGCAGTCTCTTCCAGTAAGATTAAATGAAGGGGAACCTTCCTATGCACAAAAGACACAGCAAAGTGACTCCCTCCTCCTCTTCAAGAGATGATTAATAGGAGGCAGTCTAACAGATCATTTGTGGTAAGAGATCATAAACAGGACTATGAATGATGATCAGATTTCAAAACTTTTGGTCTTTATCCTTTAACTGCATAGAAAAACCCACCCCATGGTTAACATAACCAGAAGCAGGCAGGAGCCAAAAGTTTTAATGAGAGGTCAAATTGGCAGCAAGAGAGTTGAACTTTCACAGTTTCAGGGTCAAACAACTTGTCAACACAGTCAGATTTCCTCTTTAACAGAAGCCCAATAAACTCAATGTGAGTAGAAAATATAGCATAAAAGCAGCTGCTGGCAAAATAGTGTTTTATTTTTAAATGAAAAAAATCTTAGTAATAAGCTGCTATGTAGTTTAACTCATGTCACTATACTTCCAGAGGGAAGTAGCTGTCAGTTTGAGGGTACAGGAATTCTACCCTTATCAACTTGGGGGCCTTCTGTGCTTCTCTTACTTTCACTATTAGCCAATTAAAAAGAATTCCGTGTCCTTCATGAGTTGTATTTAGATGCTTATTTTGAAGATGATGTTAAGCTAATAGTGAATTGCTGTAAGCATGTTTTGAACAGAGCACTGTATTCCCCGTGTCTAAGGAGACAACAAAAGAAATGGTGAACTGGCCTCTGCCTTCAACATCACATAAGATCTCCTTGGGTATATAAAAGGCCCACAGCTGACAAACATTTAGTAGTGTGCAACATACCGTTAAATGCAGTGCAAGCCATCCAAGGTGGAACTGAGCAAAGCAGCAGTCAAAGGACACCAGCTGAACGCGTGGTAGGAGTCTACTTCTGCTCTATAAGCTTTTGAAAGGATGTGGTCTTGATTGATAGGCTGCAAGGCAAAGAGAAAGAAAGAAGAGAGTCATTCCAGCTAGGCAGGAAGGTGTGAGCAAGAAAAAGAAATTCACAAGCAGTGTAATAATGGGTCAGCCTGCAAAAAGTATAGGCCAAAGACACTAGACCTGTGCTCTGTCACTCACCAGCTGAGAATCCTAGGGCAAGTTAGTTCATCTTTAGGACCATCTATTTCCTCGTTTCACACATGGGTCTACTTATCCTCCTCATGAGGCTGTTTGCTTATTAAATGAAATCATATACATAAAAAGGTGTCTCTTCAACTGTAAAACGCTCTGCTGAAATTATAAATTACTTATGTCATAATTATGTTTTATAATAAGAGTACCAAATATACCTAATGAAAAATGAAAACAATGTAGGAATATATAAAGTAAATAGTGACAACTTCTTGTACTGCCATCCTACTCCAGCCCCAGGGTGGGAGTGATGGTAAATGGTTTACAACTTGATCTCTGTTTGTTCTGATTTTTTCCTACGCTTGTATAAGCATACATGCTACTATTATTTTACAAAAATGGAAAACAGTGTTGCTCTGAATCTGCCTTTTTCAACTTCTAATACCTCATAATTATTTTTCTGGTCATCTTTCCTTATCCGATCCACTATAATGGCTGTATAATACTCATTTATACAAACGTACTCTAGTTTTACCTGTACCCTACTGATAGACTATAAGTATCTATAATTTATACCATTCAGTCTATGCATTAAATGCTAAAATAAGCATTTTATTTGTACAAAGGGATGTCCTAAAGACAAAGTCTTAAAAGTAGAATTGCTGGTTAAAAGATGCAATTTTGGGGGTGGGCGCAGTGGCTCATGCCTGTAATCCCAGCACATTGGGAGGCCGAGGTGGGCAGATTGCTTGAGCTCAGGAGTTTGAGACCAGCCTGGGCAACATGGTGAAACCTCATCTCTACAAACAAATAAACAAACAAACACAAAAATTAGCCAGGCTTGGTGTCATGCACCTCTAGTCCCAGTTACTCAGGAGGCTGAGGCAGGAGGATGTCTTGAACCTGGAAGGCAGAAGTTGCAGTGAGCCAAGATTGCGACTCTGCACTCCAGTCTGAGTGATAGAGCAAGACATTGTCTCAAAAAAAAAAAAAAAAAAAAAAAAATATATATATATATATATACATATGTGCAATTTTTAAATCAAGAGTTATTTTCATGCTTTTCTCTAAAATGTAGAAACACTTATTATCAAAAGAGAAAAATATATGAGTGTGTCCATTTTTCCATAACATTATTTTTTATAGTTTTTCAAACTTTTTATTTTGAGATAGTAGTAGATTCACATGTCCTTATTAAAAAAAATACAGAGAGATCCCCTTACCCTTTCCCCAGTTTCCCCCAATGCTAACTTATTATAAAACTATGGTACAATATCAGGACCAGGATAGTGACATTGATACATGTCAAGATACAGCATTTCTGCCCCTGCAAGGATTCTTCCTGTTGCCTTTTATAGCCACACCCATCTCCCTTCTAGGTTCAAACTCCTCTTTAACTCTTGGAAACCACTAATCTGTTTTACAGCTCTATAATTTCAAGAGTGTTACATAAATGAAGTCATAGAGTATGTGACCTTTAGAGATTGGCTTTTTTTTCACTCTGCATAATAACCTTGCAATCTATCCAAGTTATTACATTAATAAATAGTGTTTTCCTTTTTATTACTGAATAGCATTCCGTAGTATAGATATACTACTGCTTAAACATTGCCCTATTAAGGAGCATTTTGATTGTTTTCAGTTTTTGGCTATTATAATAAGGGACTTCCAGAACCATGTTCAGTAAGAGTAGTAAGAACCCACATCATTGCCTGGTTCCCACTCTTAGAAGGAAAGCATTTAGTCTTTTGCCATTAAGTAGAGTTTTAGCTGTAGGGTTTTTTTGTAGTGTTGCAGTCCTCTTTATCAAGTTGAAGTAATTCCTCTTTATCACTGACTTACTGAGATTTTATCAATGTAAGGAACACTTGACAGAGTGTAGGAACTTGTCAAATGCTTTTTTTGTATCAATTGATATGGTCATATAATTTATCTTCTTTAGCCTGTTAATATGGTGTGTTACATCAACTGATATTCAAATACTGAACCAGCTTTGCATAACTGGAATAAACCCACTTCATGATGTTGTTTAATCTTCTTATACCTTGTTGATTCAGTTTGCTAATATTTTGTTGAGGATTTTTGTGTCTAAATGCAGGAAATCTTGATCTGTACTTTTCTTTTTTTGAGATTGACATTGTCTTATCTGGTTTTGGTATCAGAATAATTCTGGCCTTATAAAATGAGATGGAGAGCTTTCCTTTCTCTTCTATTTTCTGAAAGATTGTATAAAATTGGCGTTAATTCATTCTCCAGTAAAATTATTGGGGGCTGGAAATTTCTATTTGGGGAAATTTTTAAATTAAAAATTTAATTTCCCAAGTAGTTATGGGGCTATTCAAATTATCTATTACATATTTGGTGAGTCGTAATAATTTATTCTTCAAGGATTGGTCCATTTCATCTAAGTTGTCAACTTTATATATGTAGAATTGTTCGTAGTATCCCCTATTATCCTTTTGATGTCTTCAGGGTATATACGGGTATTATCTATTTCATTCCTGATATTAGTAATCGGTTTCTTCTTTTTCTTTGTCAGCATTTCTAGAAGTTGGTCAATTTTGTTGGTCATTTTGAAAAACCAGTTCTTTGTTTTATTGATATTCTCTATTGATTTGCTGTTTTCAATTTAATTGATCTCTGCTTATGCTTATTATTTATTTCTTTCTACTTTGGGTTTATTTTGCTTTTTCTAAGTTCATGAGATGGGAGCTTATATTATCAATTTGAGACTTTTCCCCTTTTTTTATTTTTATTTTATTTTCATTTATTTAATTTTATTTTATTTTATTGAGACGGAGTCTTGCTCTGTCACCCAGACCGGAGTGCAGTGGCATGATCCCAGCTCGGGCAACCTCCACCTCCCGGGTTCAAGCGATTATCCTGCCTCAGCCTCCTGAGTAGCTGGGATTACAGGCACCCACCACCACACCTGGCTAATTTTCATATTTTTAGGAGAGATGGGGTTTCACCATGTTGGTCAGGCTGGTCTCGAACTCCTGGCCTCAAGTGATCCGCCCACCTTGGCCTCCCAAAGTGCTGGGATTACAGGCATAAGCACCGAGCCCAGCTGACTCTTCCCCTTTTCTAATGCGTGCATTTGTTGCTATAAATTTTGCTCTCAGTACTGCTTTAGCTGAGTCCCACAAATTTTGATACATTGTATTTTTAGTTTTATTTAGTTCAGCGTATTTTTATTTCCCTTGAGACTTCCTCTTTGACCTATGTGTTATTTAGCAGTGTGTTACTTAGTTCTCAAGCACTTGGGGATTTTTATGTTATCTTTCTATTATTGATTTCTAATTTGGTTCCACATTGGTCACAGAAAACACACTGAAATTTCAATGCTCTTAGATGTGTTAGCATTTGTTTTGTGGCCCAGGATATGGTCTACCTTGGTATATCTTCCAGATAGCACTCTTTTTAATCTTTGGAATATATATATATAGGTAAAAATGAACGTCGATTTTAGATTGGCACTTTAAAAGTATTAGTAAATATGAATTTTTTACATGGTTATTAATCTTTTGTAACTCTTCTCTTGGATGCCTCTACTCTTTACCTATTTTTATTTGTTTGACTTTTCATTGATTTGCAGGGGCTTTATATATATTAAAACTATCAGCTTTGTAGATCAAATATCTTTCTGTTCGTAGTCTTTCAACATTGTTCACTGTAATTTTCCTATGTACAAACTTAAATTCTTAGGTATTTTAATTTATCAATATTTCCCTTTGCATCTGTCTTCATGCTATGCTCAGAAAAACCTTCTATACACTTTTATAAAATATTTATATTTTTCTAGAATATTTTTATCATTACCTTCTTACATATCAAACTTGCTTCCCCGAAAATGTTTTTAACAATAATTTTATCATAATGCTTCCAAAATAATCTATACTTAAATTAAATACTTGATTTGAGAATAATTCATATCTACATTTGAGTAAGACAGTGATTTTTTATTCGTTAAATACAGAGAAAAATGACTAAAATGTAGTGTGCACTTTAAATATGCCAGGATTTTTCTAGGCTCTTTACATTCTTTGCTTTGGATCTCACAACTCCTCTATGAGTTATGGCCTCCCCATTTTATGAAGAAAACTGAGGCTTAAAGCAGTAAGTAATTAGCCTGAGCTGACAGTTGGGATTCAAACTCAGTCATGTCTCATTCCCAAACCAGTGGGAATTAATTCCACTACACTCCTTGGCTCTCCATCTTGACATGTAAAAGGCACTGTGAACAGAACAAAGAGTTACAAAACTTAGTCGCTGCCTTCCAAGAGTAATTAATATGTTACATTTTCATGGTGATTTACGATTTTCAAAGGTGGTATTCAGCAACCATTTATTGACCACCTTCTACCTCTCAGGTACTGTAACTACACAGGGTAAAGTATAATAAGTCAGTGTCCCTTTGTGAGCTATACTATGTATGTTTACATCCTCATTTCTTATAACAGGGATACAAAACAGAGGCTACGTGTATGTAGTTCAGTTTCCTACATTACCACAAATAATCTTTTTAAGAAAAAGCCAATTGAGATCTTAATATCACCCACTTGTCTGCAACACAGTGACATTTTTTAAGGTGATCTTTCTTTTGGAATTATTTTGTTAAGCTTTAATATGTTATATCTTCGTTTAGTTTGTTTCTTCATGCATAGAAAATTCTAACATATTGATAACATTCTTCATTTTCATTCCTATAAATATAAACATTCAATGAAATCATAGATACATATGAAATCTGCTCACAAACAAAACAATCACTTGTACTTTTTTATTTGCCTATTCAGTGTGGTTTGGATAGTTGATATTTTTAACAGTTTTATTGAGATATTCACATTCCGTACAATCACCTGCTTAAAATGCACAATTCAGTGGCATTTAGTATATTCACAGAGTTTTACAAGCAGCACCACAATCAATTTTAGAACATTTTTATCACCCCTCAAAAAAAGAAACACTGTACTCCTTAGCTGTACTCTCTCAGCCCAAGACAATCATTAATCTGTTTTCTATCTCTATAGTTTTCCCTATTCTAGATATATCTATTAAATGAAAGCATATAATATGTGGAATGATTTATATTTTAGAAGTAGAAATATTTAACTCACTTGGAGCCTGATTTTTTTAAAAAATCACTGGTAAATTAGTATATATAGCAGATTAATATCATAGACTTTGTTTTTACACCTCGTTGACTCATTAAATATCAGAGAATCATCCTGAATGCTTACAGGAAGCACATCTCACTTGCTGGCAAGTATTAATCTGCCTGCCCCTAGTTTCTTTGTTGCCTCATGCTCCATGTATCCACATTTCAATTTCTTTCAATTCTAAGCAAAATCTCTGTTTACATAAATATTCTAACAAGCTTTTTCCTTCCCTTAAGCGAAATACCATATTTGTTCTCATTTTCTTCCATTCCACTGTTTCCTCTACCACCCACTCCCACAGGACCTTAATTTTGGGGGAATTTTGAGGAATTTATGTGAGACTGTCTTTCCCACATAAATTCCCCCCTTTAAATCTTGGTTGTCAGTAGCAGCAGGAGATGCTGTCAAGGTACCAGAAGAGCAGCTGAAAGCTGTGAACAACCCTGTTTCTTGAAAGCAAGAGTGCTCAAGCTCTGTTAATACTTCCTCAATTGCTCTTCCCCAGACATCAAAGCATCCTTAAGAAGCAAGTTCTCATCCAGATGCAGTCACATGGCTTTAGAATGCTTTGACTGCACCCTCTCAGCAAAAGTAATCCCTGTCCACTTTTTTTAGTAAGGTAAAATGTACAAATGTACAATTCAATGAGATATGAAAGCAATGTAAAATCCCATGTGACCACAATCAAGTTATAGATGGTTTCCTTCACCCCAGAAAGAGCTACCAGCTCATACTCTGTCACCCAACCCTCCTGTGCAGGTACTCGCTATTCTGATTTCTACTATCACAGATTTGTTTTGCCTGTTCTTGAGCTTATTGAATGGTATAATATATACTCTTGTGTTTGGCTTCTTTCAGCCAACGTAATGCTTTTGAAATTCATCCATGTTGTGTAAATCAGAAGCTCATTCCTTTTTTATTGCTAAGTAGTATTTCATTGCATGAAATGCCTGTATGAAATATTTTATACATTGTATGGAATATATAGAAAGTTGCCTACCCATTCTTCATTTGATGGACATTTGGGGTTTTTCTATTTTAGAGCTATAATGAATACAGCTGCTGTGAACAGTCTTGTTCAAGTCCTTATGTGGACATATGTATTCATTTCTCTTGGGTAAATTCCTAGAATGGCTAGTCTATTGTTTACCCTTATTTAAAAACTGCTGTTTTTTTTTGTTTTTTTTTCTGAAGTGGCTGTACAATTTTAAGTCCTATCAGCAATATATGGGAGTGCCAGTTTTTCAACATTCTAAGTAACATTTGGAGAATTCAATTTTTAAAAAAATTTTAGTTATTCTACTAGATATGAAATGGTATGTCATTGTGGTTTTAATTTGCGTTCCTCTGACTAATGATATTGGACACCTCACTTAATTTGTACATCTTGTTTTGCAATGAGTCTACCTCTGAAAATCCAGAGCCACAGAAAATATTTTTTTTCTCTCCACTAAAGTAATTTTGATTTTTTTCTCTTTTAATTTTGTGAATAGTAATTAAGCTATAATATGAAGTAGGACTTAGGCTTACAATATAGGTTTTGCGAAAAAGTTAAATCTAAATACTTATAACAGGTTAATCTAATGGCTAACATTATAAAAAATGTTCAGAATTTAAAAGATACATAAAAATTCATTCCATTTCAAGTAGCTGCAAAAAAAAACTGCCTTAAAAATATATCACAAGTAATGAAGCACAACTTGAGAGAAACAATACTAAAGGATGCTTTAAGTGAACATTCTAATATTTTGGGAAGTACAAAGCTACTTTCATAAGAAGCTGAAGAATGGAAAAGATGAGTGAGCAAACTTATCAAAAAAATAGGAAAGTATAAGTGAGATTGAAAAAAATCAAAATGGTAAAGAAAATCAGATGAAGACTCAGGGTGAACTCTTTGGATGCAAGATTTGGGTTGCTGTTCTTGGATAGTGAGAACTTAGAATTGGATATAATGAATCCATTAGAAAGTGGAGACCTCTTAGATGATGAATCCAAAGGAGTTTTGAAGAAACTGATTGATAAAGCTGAGTTAAATTTGTAAGAACTCAGAGATAACAGAAATCAAATGTATACTAAATTAACTGAATAAAATAAATAACTGATGCACTTAAGGAACATATTAAGTCTCCAAACTCAGAAAGCTTAGCTGCAGTCAGAAAGGGAAAGCAAAAATGTCAATTCCCTTCTGAACTGCACTGAGGAAATGAAATTTAACTAAATATCCAACTTACAGAGAATTTATCCTGGAAAAATAGAAGAGCATCTTTTCAAGGAAGATGAAAAGATCAGCCATGTATGTAAAGAGCTGGACACCTATAAAATATATGCCAAAATTCTTTCAGAAAAGGTCATCACTCACTATTATGAAATTCAGCTTTGTAGGTTGAAAAAAATCATGTTAACTTAGAAAAGAAAATACACATATTGGACAAAAAAACTATTAAGGAATAATTTAAATGCCTTAAAAATATTGTTATGTATTCAATGTTCCAAATAGGGCATTTGGGTACGGAGGACTACCAGGGAATCTCCTAGACAACAAAGTCCCTAAGGAAGGAGGAACATCAGGCTGTGAGAGGATCCAGGGTCCAGTGTCAGATTTTGACCAGATAGCATCGCCCCTGGGTCAGGACCACAGGATCAGGACCATCCATCTGGCCAGCTCTGTCCTGATGCAGCAATTTCTCCATAAGACAGAGTTTGTCCTAGTGCTCATGTGCTGTCCTAGGGCAGATACTTGGGACTGTCTTTAGATTCAACACCCCCCCCATACACACACACAAACAACTGAACATGACACTACTGGCCCAGAGTCCTCCCTCTCCCCAACCCATCAGATGAATCTCAGGGGAAAACTCCTGAGAAGAGGAATCTCCCAGAAATCACCTTCACTGAGGGACTTCCCTAGCCCAGCACCTCCTCCACCACCAACAAAAAGTGTCTCAACAGCAACTGTTGGATTTAGCCTTCTGCCACACAATCCATAAACAGAAGTTGGTCACCTTTTGAATTGGTCCCCCCTCCCAGTGAGTCTCCTTCTAGAAATCCAGAGCCACAGGATGATGCTTTTCTGTCTCTCTAATGTAATTTTGATATTTTCTTCCTTTAGTTTTATTGCAAATCACATTTAAGTTATAATACAATGGCTCAAAAAAAGGCAGTATAATTTTTAAGGTAATGCTTTATCATGGTAGGTTATTTTAAATGTACCTTAAGTTAGTTTTATATGTTCTTCCATTTTATTGTTTGTAGGTGATATAATTAATGTATATGCCTTGCTATTGACACATTTACCAAAATGTTCCAGAAACACAGAACAAAAGAATTTTTGTCTTCTAAAACAATTTTGAATTTTTTCTCCTTTGTTTTATTGCTCTTATTTTAGTGATTATACAATGTCTCAAATGGAAATGTGATAGAATTACAATTCTTAGGACAGTGTTTTATAATTATACATTGTATAAATTATCTAAATTTGGAGAATCTTGTCAGTAGCAAAGCACAATTTGACTATCACGTTGAATTCCAAGGGTCAAAAACACCATTTGGAGCGTAGTGCATCTTATTCCAGGGATTGAGCCTGCCTTTCTTTTTCTTGAATAGGTCATCCATTTTTCCCAGAGGGATTTCTTTCTTCCTTTAATGATCACTTAATGGAGTCTATTCTCCTAACATATTTTCCCTTTTGTCCTGTCTCCTTCCCTGACCTCATTAAGCCACTTTTGTTTTAAGAGTTTATTATAATTCCTATTCCTTTGACTATATTTCCTTTCCCGGGCTTTGCTTTATTATTCCCTTTCCTAGATGACAAATCAAAAGACTTTGTGTTTTACTTCTTTCACACACTAAATCATGTTTCATCCTCTCCTCTGAACTGTGAGGAATCTTCTTTCATGCTCCTAAGCCAGGAGCCCCTATCCATCTCTCAGGCCGTCTTCCATGATACAGACTAAAATTCTTTTTAGGAGCTGGGCATAGTGGGGTTCACTTATAGTCCCAGCTACTCAGGAGGCTGAAATTGGAGGATCACTTGAGGCCAGGAGTTCAAGACCAGCCTGGTCAAATAGCAAGACCCCATCTCTACAAAATATAAAATTTAAAAAATAGCCACGTATAGTCATGCGTGTCTGTAGTCCTTACTACTCGGGAGGCTGAGGCAAAAGGATAGCTTGAGCCCAGGGGTTCAAGGTTACAGTGAGCTGTGATTGCACAGCTGCTTTCTAGCCTGGGTAACACAGTGAGATCCTGTCTATAAAATAAAATAAAGATGCAATAATGTTATCCTTTAGGGTGCATCAATATATTATAGTGAGCCATTCAGACGGACTTAAGTTTAAGTACACCACTTACTTCCCAAGGAAACCTCAGAAAGAAGCCTCTCATCTCAATATATTCCAAAAAAAGGTCATTTCCTGACAAAAGTGGGTAAACCAAAGTGTGCTGGGTGGCAGAAGGCAGGTTTATATGTAATGAATAATTGGCTCTCGAGTATTTGGAAGTTTATCTTGTTAGCATTATTCTTATTTAGATATCATATGTTCTCCCATATTAGCATTTTAACATCATTGAGCAAAATTCAGCTGTGCTCTATAAAACTATTACTCATGATTGTGAAACTGAAGTTGTGGAGATGACCCCAAGCTGCATGATGTTCATTAAGTTGCTTAACCTCCCTTAGCCTCAACTTTCTCATCCATATACTAGAGATAGTAATGCCTAACCACCTTATAGGATTGTCTTGTGATAGACTGAACGTTTATGTTTCCCAAAATCCATATGTTGAAACCTAGCCACCAGTGTAATGGTATTAGGAGGTGGCCTTTGGAAGGAAATTAGGTCATGAGGGTGGAGCCCCCATGAATATGATTAGCATCTGCATAAAGGAGACCCTAGAAAACGGGTCCTCGTTCTGCTATGTGAGGATGTAACCAGAAGTCAGCAGTCTGTGACCTGGAAGATGGTCCTCACCAGAACTTGACTATGTCGGCACCCTGATCTTGCACTTCTAGTCTCCAAAACTGTGGGAAATAAATTCCTATGGTTTATAAGCCACCAAGCCTATATGGAACTTTGTTATAGCAGCCCAAACTAAGACAAGGCTTACATGCAATAATGTTATACTTCACGCGGATCCAGCCAAATCAACTTACCTTCCAGTCCCAGGTGAGTTATCAAACCTCCTGGACTTTGGAAACACTCCTCTTGTGCCTGCATGCTCTTTCTGCCTCCTCCTTCTTAGCCCAACAAAATCCTAATCACTTGCAAAGGTCCAATTCAAATACATTCTTTTTGGGCAAACCTTCTCTCACTCACAGTAGGGCAGGAGTAGCTGCCCTCTCTAGGCCACACTGCATTCTGTGTATATCTCAAGTAATGCCTGAAGCACAATATGACTGTTTCCATATCTGGATAACCCTCAGTAGGTTTGTTAATTCCACAAGAATAAGCAAGTGCCTTAGTTCCCTTTTTATCTACCACCCCTCACATTCCCAGCACCTACCACAGTGCTTGACACATAGTTGGCATTCAATAAGTATTTGTTGACTGTTAAAATTGTGTCTTTACCACTATTACCAACAGATGTCTAAATCAACCTGGTGACTGACAAAAGCGTAACCCATTGTATAGAAATTAGAGCAACATGGGCACTAATTCTACCACTACCGCTTCCACTTGTCTTAGCTATCAGAAAATTATGATGCTATTTCAGTAGCATATGGGACTCCTTTCAAACCAAGAATTTTGAATCTCTGTTGGATTGTATTAACTTGCTGTTGACCTATTTGCATTTCAGCAACTAGATCTGCCCTTACTAATAATTCAGCTGCATTAATTTTTCCATATTCAGGGTAGTGAGTATTCTCTCTCTAACCTCACTATTTGGGGTTTGTGAAATAGGATATTCATATTAAAACCAACAAGAATTTGTGGTTACATGGCTTTCAGTATACCAGGAATGGAGTTCACATTTTTCAAGTGTCTCAACTCATGTTGTTTGTATACCTCTACTTGGTCATGTCTGAAATAAATTTTCTGAAATCTAGGTATTCATCATAGACCATGAAATAAAATCAATTAAATTATAATTTATTTCTGGGTAATAAGTAAGCTGAGGATGATGTGTTCTGTCTTTTGATGGAATGCAACTTTACCATTAAAAGACAAATTCTTCACTTCCAAAGTTTGAATAGGGTGGTTCTTTAAAAAGCATTCCATCTGGTTAAATTTAGGGTGCTGAAAAAAGCCCACTATAAGAATATTCTCTGGCTCTGGACCCGTAACATTTTTACTTGATTATGAACTGGATTCATTTTCATTTACTTGAAGCACTTCCACATCGCTATTTTTTTTCTTTCTGCAACAAGGCAAAGTTGTCACCATACATGTTGACTCTGGTAATATTGTGTTCTCTGAATAATGCATTTCAAATGCATTATTGCCAGTAAAAGAAAAGCTTGTCTGTCCTGGGATACATTTTTAAAAGATGTTTCTAAAAAAACTTTATTTGTATTTTTTTTCTTTACTCATCCTCTGGCCCCTTTCTTCTCACTCTCATTCTCCTTTTCTCCCCAACCTGGCCCTCCCACCTCACCACCTGCAACCTGAATCCTGTACCAAGGTTCAATCACCAGTCTTTGGCCTACTTTCTATCTCATGGTCTTCATGATCTTTGGCTCAGAATTCCTACTTGCATACAGATAAAATTCATGAATAAAGAAGAATGAATAAGTCAATGAATAAACCAACAGCCCAGTCTCCTCTACCTGCTGGTTGTGGGGTGATAAATGTCCTTGGTTTGCCTATCCCCTTCACATAGGAGTTTAATGGGTCTGCAAGCTGAGACCATACATGTTACAGAGAAAAAGGATGAAGCCAAAGACAGAGTGAAAACATTGAAAATACCTATATACCAATAGTCCCTCCAAGAAATTCAGTAAATTTTTGAAGGCCAACCAATTAGATAGCACAAATTTGGAAACTCTCCAATGGAAGGAAAGGAAAAAGATTCACCCAGAATGTCAAATATAATTGACAAGTCTGCTAAAATAAAAGTAAGCTGGGACCTATTTTTGAGCTATAACAGGGCTCAGAGATTACTGTATATATGTGGGCTGGAAGCCTATCCTGATTCAAGCACCAATTTCATTCAGTATCAAGCCAAAACTTAAAGATTTAGTTAGGTTTTCAAATAGCCTGGATGGATATTAAGATCTAGCATTTTCAAGCTATAAATGCCAGCCATGCCTTATTTATTGTGTCCTATGGAAAGGTTGTAACAATTACTGAAAAAAAAAAGACATTTGTGTTAGAATAAACATTTCTATCTTTATCCATTCATCTAACAAATGTTTGCTATGCATCTACTACGTGCAGGTACTGTGCTCTCTGGTGAGGGTTATGGTGAGATTACAATGATTAGCTTATTAGACATATTCCTTATTCTTACACAGCTAGTCATTTTAAATAGTATGTAAAGTGTGTCAGTCACTGTTCTATGTACTTTACATCTATATTAATCTATTAAATCCTCACAATCCTACAAGAGGTAGATACTATTATATTTCCCATTTTACAGTTAAGGAAAGTGAGGAATGGAAAGTAACTTGTCAAGGGTCACACAGCTGTTAAGTATTAGAGCTACACTTTGAACACAGGCTGTTTGGCTCCACCGTCTATGCCCCTGTTACCCCTTACTGACTCAGGAGGGGAGGCAGTAGAGAGTAAAATGGTAGTTACTAGAGCATTGGAAGTCAGAGGGTAGAAAGGGATGGAAAGACGTTGGTCAAAGGATATATAATTACAATTAGGAAGAATTGTTTTTTAATGTTCAGAATAGGCAAATATAGAGAGACAGAAAGTAGATAAGTGCTTGCCTGGGGCTGGGGAGACTGGGGGAATGCTGTGAGGAGAGAATAGGTAAAGGAGGAGGAGAGAAATGGGAAATGACTACCAATGGTTATAGGATTTCTTTTGGGGGTAGTGAAAATGTTCTAAAATTGATTGTGGTGATGAGTGCACAATTCTGTGAACAAATAAAAACCATTAGAGTGTACACTGTAAATGAATGAATTGTATTATAGATGAATTAAATCTCAATAAAGCTATTTAAAAAATAAGAAGAGGAGGCAGACATCAAACCAACAGTCATGTAAATCAGTATATAATCACAAAGTGAAATGAATCTTAGAAAAAACAAAAGGAAACAGGGTTCTAAGAGAACACAGAATAAAGAAACTTCAACTGAGGGTGTGGGTGGGGCTGCTAGGGCACTGATACTTGACCCCTGAAGGCTGAGTAAGTTAACCTGCCTCAGGAGAGAGCATTCCAGTCAGGGATGAGTGTAGGAAAATCCTCACTAGGAGGGAGCCTAGTGAGTGAAGGGCCTAAAGAGAGATGGAAGTCAGCCAGGGCCGAGAGTAGTGGGAGGTGGTGCAGGATGAGGATAGAGCGCTAAGGCAGGCCAGGCCTAAGAGAGAGTTCAAGTATTTAAGTCTCATTAGTCTTAATTCTAAATACAATAAAAAGCCAATGAACCTTTTAAATTGGTGAGTGACAAAAGATTTGATTCTGAAAAACTACTTGGGCCACCATTTGGAGAAAGACCCAAGCGAATGTAGGGCATAGTTACAGCCTTTGCAATGGTCTAGGTGAGAAATGATAGTAATTTTGTCATGAAAGCCCCAAAGTACTAACTCTAAATTGCCTTTGTCTATATTGATCAGGAATAAGAGTACTCATTCTATATATCCTCTCCTATCATTTCACTAGTTTGTTTTACATTGGCTCAAACTTAGGAGCTAGGCAAGTGTCTTTGACAGGTTGAAAGATCAGTAAGAAAATTACTCATCAGAAACTGATAGATCATGTGCCTTTCACCAGCAACCTTTTCACTTTGCTTGTTCTCTTCCCATTCAGTTTGATTCATATACAAATACAGGTGCTTAGAGAAGATACAACCTGAAGACTTCAGTTTCTACCACAGATACTCTAGGCCTTGAGGACATTAAATAAAATGGTCATCTCAGGCAAGCCAAGGAGAACCAAAAACTTTCATCTTCCAACATAAAGAGGCACTATGGTATTATGGAAGAAGACTAATTTGGGAACCACATAGATTTTCACTTTCAAGGTTTATAACCCTAGGCAAGTTGCTTAAGACCTCTTTGCCTTAGTTTCTCAATATGTGAAATGCGGATCTGAAAACTTACCTTATGGTTATCAAAGAGTTAGAAATGATATGTATTACCTGCCTGGAATAGTTAATTGGAAAAAAAAAAAGTAACCTATATAGGACTCAATTATTTGTTATTGACTTGGTCTCTGGATCCATCCATTTGCCATTTATTTAATAATTTACTGAGGCTCTACTATGGACCAAGCACTTTGCTAGATGCTCACGGATAACTAGACAGGATAATGTAGGTTCTGCCATCAAGGATTGTGCAGATTAGAGATAGTAACTATTTCCTACTTCCTCTATAAACAACAATTTTGTTGTGGGAGAGAGGATTTGCCTAACCTCTGTATATGAATCAGGATTGATGTAATGCAGTCATGAGAATCCAATTCTCCTTCTCAAGTAACTAGTAAGATACACACCTGTAAGCCAGTCCTGGTCAATGAGATTTAAGCCAAAGTAGCTGTTGGAGATTTCTGGGAGCAATTTTCTTCCATAATAAGTGGGAGAGGAGAAGCAACCACCAACCGTGTCTCCTGCTTTATAAAGAACAAATATTTGGCTGAGCACGGTGGCTCATGCCTGTAATCCCAGCACTTTGGGAGGCCGGGGTGGGTGCATCATCTGAGGTCAGGAGTTTGAGACCAGCCTGACCAACATGGTGAAACCCCGTCTCTACTAAAAATACAAAAAATTAGCCAGGAATGGTGGCAGGTGCCTGTAATCCCACTACTTGGGAGGCTGAGGCAGGAGAATTGCTTGAACCCAGGAGGCAGAGGTTGCAGAGAGCCGAGACCATGCCATTGCCCTCCAGCCTGGACAACAAGAGTGAAACTCCAACTCTCAAAAAAAAAAAAAAAAAAAACAGAATAGAAAAAAGAAGAAATATTTGTGATAACATAATAGCTTGGAGGCCGCAAAAGTTCATCTTGAGACCATGAGGGGAGATACTCACAAATTATTGAGTATGACAAAGCACAAGAATCAAAGGAGCCCATTTCCTTGGTGATGTTGAACTACAAAGCAAACTTGGGACCATCTGCTAATGGACTTGTCATTCACTAACAAGTATAATGGATATTGGGATAGAAGCCTGAAGACAGTAGGTACTCCAGGAAGTAAGAAGTAGAAATGACACTCATTACTTCATTCATTAATAAACTTTTATTAAATACTTATCCAGCTAATTTCCATAGCTCTTCAAGTGAATCTACCCTTCCTCCTTGGAAAGGAGGTATGAACCAGAGTTTAGGAGCAGTCCATAGAGTTGCATTGCCTGAGCGAATTATAACATTCTATCCTTCTACTCATAGCTACCACTCTGCTTCTGCGACCAAGAAGCAAAATCCCTTTGTTAGAAGCAACACCCCAGATGCACCCAGAAGGAGATTAAACTCATGTCTACAACCAAGAGTAGCTCTTCAAGAAGTAAACAGGCCATATACTAGCTGATATTTTTTCAGCAATAATTTTTCTTACCACAAAAGAGAGGCCTGTGCTTTAAAACATTATCGTATTCTCAAGGTTTGAACCACCACAATAAACGTAATATTATTTCCATTCTGTTTTGGGATGTTGCTGAGACAAACTGTTTGTTGGTTTAGCTTGTTTGTTTTACTCTTAAGTAAAGTGTAAGTGAACATCCAATAGAATATGACAGTTCCCTTCCACGGGTGTGCTGTAAAAATTGCAGCATTTCCATAGGAATGTGATTAATGTCAAGCATCGGAGCCAATGGTGTTGCTCTCCTGCTGCCTTTCCACCTGTCCACTGCCAGGTGAGCATATCCAGCCACTGTTCCCTGACTGACTGCCAGATGATGCTTTCCTGCTGATCTGTCCTCGTGCTTGGTGGTATCTTCATACGAACTCACCACCTGTTAGGAACTAGCTCCTCAATACTTTCAAGTCTATAATTGACTTTGGACTTGATTTTTAATAAAGGCCCTATACAAGAAGACCATTTCCCCAAAGAGTCCAATGACAAAATTCAATTTCCATTGAAATAGCAATCAATGGGAATGATCAAGACTGAATATAGTTTTCTTAATTACTACCAATTATAATTGTTTTCTTTACTATGTCACCTGTCTAGATGATAGGCCACATGCCTATGACTATTCTCATTTTATGATGAATCCAAGGCTCTGGAAGTTTAATCGGCATGCCCAAGCCTCGTGGCTCACTGAGAATAGAACCCAGGTTTCTTACCTCACTACCTCATGCTGCATCATTTGCCTCTCAACAAAGCAACACAAAAACTTTGGGCTTTCCTTGGTTAGTTTGCAGGAAATAATATCTTTTGCCACAGAGAAAGCCAGATGGTCATACTGAAAGAACACACGAAGATGTCCTAATCACAGAAAAAGAACAGGCATAAAACATGATGGATGTAATGGATATAAGTTCTAAGATCCACAGCCTCTCTGGAAATCAAAAGTGAGTTTGATGCCGCCCCTTCCCACCATGAAAATAGCTGCCCTATGCAAATAAGCATTTTGCCAGCCAGCTGAGATGGGGCAGAAACAATTGGTCTGCAGTCAGCCAGAAAGAAAAACAGCAGCCAAAGTGCACAGTGTTACTTTTCCCACACTGAATGAGGCATTAACTTCCAAATCTCTGACCCTTTAAATCTGTGTGACAATAATTAATGGGAGAAAGATAACTAATATTTACGTTTGCAGTCAAAGCCCCAACTAATAAGAATACAGGTTATGTAAGGAGACATGAGAGCCTCACCATTTCTTACATGTGTTTCCAGCAGGTGAGGCATTAATTTCTTTTTCACTACGCTTGAGCTCCTACTTATTCCAGCAATGCTGCCACATGCTGTGTGGGAGCAAATGACTGGGAGATCCGAGTGAAGAACAGAGAGGAAAAGTTCAACTTGAGGACTTACTGATTATCTGCTAGGGGCTCTGGCCTTTGGTCAGATGCAGAATCTCAATTGTCCTTATAAATACAGATTTTTGTGCTATGCGTATTTCTAACCCTTATCTTGGGCCATTGGCATCTTACTCAATACCAGGACAGCACACTCTTAACGAAGTCACTTGCCTTCTCTTGATTCAAAATTCCTTTCTTGTAAAATAGCTAGGTTTAACCAAATCTGGTTTTCATAAACAAAATCACCTGCATCACAATCTTTTAAAAATACAAACCCCCAAATCTTTTCACCACATATTCCCCCAATTTACTGAATAAGAGAGTTTGTGATGAATCTATATTATTAAAAAGTTTCCTAAGTAAATATGATGCCCAGTCCAGGTTAAGAACCACTAGACTACTTAATGAATACTGTGATTTAATCTAAGTTAAGCAAGCTGTAGGCTTCCACTGATCTCTTCATTCAAGGACAGAAACACTGCCTGGAATAAAAATCAAAATGGACACCATATCCTTTCTATTCAGCTCTTCAGATAAACTTCAAGGAGGCAGGAGAATGGCTTGGTAGGCAAAAAGTTATGGAGAGGATGAGGGACCAAAGTTTTCAGAATATTCTAGGTCTGTGAGATAACAAATACCCAAGGCATTTATATTCACTGCAAGAAATTAAAGATTGTATTATTCTTTGGCTAGTAGAAAATTGTTTCTCTCTTTTTCTCTTCCACCTCTTTTCCTTTGATTTTGTTATAATTTTATTTTAATGCTCCATTTATTACTCTCTTTTGAGAAAAAGAAATGAGGGTAAGAGAAAAAGTCATCCTTACAATCAGTTGCGTTTTTCTCAATTTTTTTTTAATCAAAGCAGCCTTACTCTTTACCCTGCCTCTGACTCAGCCAGATCCTCTACCAGATGATTCAGCCCAGATCATGCTCCACTTTTATTTCCCTCCCTAATCAATTCCACTCAATACTTATTGAGATGGGAGACAGTGAGGGTGAAGCTGCCTTTCAATTCGCTTTTGTTTCACCTTTAAAGATAACGTATTACATTCCGTTTGAATCCTTCTCCGCATCCTCAAACAGAAAAACCCAGAATTTAACCTCAATTTTTTCCCAGTGATTTCCAACCAAGTAAGACGAAAAATCCTCACTGGTAAAAGAAAGGATTAGAATTTGTTTCAAGCTTCAAAAAGTGGCAAAGTAAGCAACATAATAACCTCATTCAATAAGAATTTCTGGAACTCTTACCATGTGCCTGGCACCATGCTAAGTGCTATGGATACAACAGTGAACAAGAAAAAATTTCCAAAATTTTGGCACTACTAAAAGCAAGGATTCTTTTACACAGGGTAGTTATAGCTTATAAAATATCAAAATAGTATCTTACATTTATGTACTGCTTTATACATATGCTACCATTTGATACTTATCATAACCTCTGAGATAGGCAGGGCAAGTATTATTTTCATTTTATACTTACTTGTGGTAATGGTTAATATGCACTGAACACTTAATAATAGTAATAATAACCTAACATATTTAATGCTTTCTTCTATAAGGCACTGTGCTAAGCATTTTACACAAATTTATCTTCCTTTGACATGGTATTAATCCCCATGATATAGTTAGAAAACTGAAGCTTAAGAGAGGTCACATAGTGGATGATGGGACAGAGCCAGCACTCAAACCCAGGTCTGTACTTCCAGAGTCCGTATGTTTAACCAGTTTGCTGCATTCAGGGAGGTTAAATGATTTGCCCAAAATAATCTGACTACTAGGCACTGATTTTAACCCATACATTCTGTTTCCTTTTACATTATAAATATCTCAATATATAAATATCTGTTGGAGGTACTTTATATAGAACAACACAGCCTGTGTAGAGAGAAAAGATTCCATTGTTTTGAATTTCAAATAACTCAAATGGACTTTAAGAAGGATGCCTCCTGTTAGGGAATGAGTCCAAAGTCCTGCCATGTCTGTAAATGAACTATATTAATTATTTGCTAACATGCAAATGCAAATGATAATTTTTTATTTAAAAAAAATTAAAAGCTCCTTGACTTTTAAGGAATTGCTCACAGATCCAAATGATGCACAACGAAAAAAGGAAGAACAAGAAAGAAGTTAATAGAATCTGCGCATTTTTTAATGTGAAAAAAAGTGAATGAGTATGATGCTGACCACCAGACTTCTAATATACTGATGAGAGAGAGAGAGAGAGAGGGACCAAAAAACTGAAGGAAATTGCTACCAAGGGTCTTTTCCCTATAAGAATAATGTGATCTTGATAATAGATTATGCTGGAAATTATAGCTTCTACTCTAATGTTTACAGGGAAAAACCAGTACTTTATGTAGTATTCATGTTTTCACCAAAGGTGCTACAATTACCATCCTAGCTAAAAGATGTCACAGTCCAACTCTTCATTTAAAAAGAAAGAAAAGGAAAAATGGAGAAAGGCAGGTTAGCAATTATTCTCCATGGGAAAGATGACTATAAAGTAAGTGCACCTCATAAATTATTTGCAGACATGTCCATATTAGAATGAAATAAGATCTTTCAGAGGATAACACACCTGTGCCATGGATAATTGCCCTCATTCACAAATAATAAGTGGTCTACCAGATGTTTAGCCCCACACAGACATATGTAGGGCAAAGCAGTAGGAGAGGGTGTCTTAGCTCAGACCAGAGACGATCTTTTTTATCCTTTACAAGCTCTCATGCTGTGTCAGCAGCTTATTTAGTATGGTAACCAAAATCGAAGAGGATTCCAACTGTTAAGTACTAACATTTCATTTCAGTTATTAAACTTACAGAGAAACCCTCGGGGTCAGTAGAAGTCGGAAGAAGATGCCTGAATTTCTTTTCTTTACTTTTTAATTGTGACAGACATCAACTTGATAAAGATTTTTTTAAATTTCAAGAACTTTATCAAGATGAAAAAGGCATTGTAAAGCTAAACGGAAGTTCAGTATGTGACTAGAAACAACTTTCCTTACCTAATAAATGTGATTCAATTTTGGAGAACAAATATTTGGATGGTTCTATATTTACCATTCTCGTTCTTTGAAATGTTCAATCTACCAAAAAGTGCCATCTAAAATAAAGGCTGAAGTAGTTATAAAAACTGTCAGGAAGTATTATTGCCGGGCTGGTTGGTGTTAAGCAGTGAACGAGGTATAGGCAGTGGTAAATATAGAAGACAATTTCCTGAGTTACTTTTGATAAAGAAGTATATATTTCAAAACAGGCGATACTTTAAGTTTAAACTGTGTGACACCACTATGCATATTATGTACATATGTCAGTGGTACATCCAAAAGATAAATAACAATAATTATAATCACAAGCTCACTTTCATAAAGCCCTTGCAAGTAGAATTATGGTAGCATAACACAAGTCTTTTTTAGGCATGGTAGTGGGCCATCAATATCAGTATAAAACTTCTTTCATTAATATTAAAGGAGATGTGTGAAAATAGGATTACCTCTAAAACAGACTTGGAAAAGCGCAAATCCATCCTAAAGCTTCCAAAGGTGGTGTTAATAATAATACTTCTACAGTACTGACACCAAACATTCTTCCCTCTCTTCACCTGGGAACTGCTCCCAGCCATACCCCACCATACACACACACACACACACACACACACACACAGAGAGAGAGAGAGAGAGAGAGAGAGAGAGAGAGAGAACTACAGTGGGAACTTCCATAGTTTTACATGACCCTGCAGCCAGAAGTGGACACCTGACCTAATCTACACCAGTCAGTTCTTTTCCTTGAAAGAGAATCAGCCTCCTCTCTTCAGAGGGGCCTTTGATGAGAGGCTAAAGATGTGGAAGAAACAAGTCTATGGGGAAAGCATGAAAGCAGAAGGCCATGAGAAGCAGGGATGAGAGATGGAGGGAGCTCAGAGGCATGCCTTGTCTCTGGTTCTAGCTGTTCTAAAGACTCTGCAAATCCCTGACCTCCTGCAATTTAGTTGCGAAAATTGAATTTGGAGTCTATGAAATAATAATTTACTTTTTTGGCCTAAGCTAGTTTGATTTCTGTAGCTTATAACCAAAGAGATTGAATAAACTATATTAAGTATAGGCACCATATAAGTGAACTCTTAAGCATCTTCTTTTAAAATTAAAGTTGACTCATATACAACTTAAAATCTTACCTCAATGTAAACAAAGGCTTGAGCAAAACTGTGCATGGCACATCGAGGGAAAGAAAAGCAGCAAGTATCACCAGAATACACGGGTTTTGTGAGAAAAAGTGAGTGAAACAGTCTCATCATGGGTAAGATCAAAGTAAAGCACCAACAACACCAAACGATGTACTACACGGGATGATAAGAATGAGGGGACTTCAAAATATTCATGGAAAAATTTAACTAAAAGATAAAAATTTAGAATATAAGCTTTATTTCTCAACATAAACTTCATCAAGTTCAAGACACTTTTGTAAGCTATTTAGCTTACAAAATGGACCAGCCATTTAGTCCATCCCTAAAGAACTGGGGGTCCTGGGAATTTAACCACGTCAATGCAGTCTTTTTTATACTAGTAACTAAAGAAAAATGGGTACCTTTCACAGATTTTTTGAGGAGGAAACAAAAAGAAGTCAGATGGAGCCAAATCAAGACTGTAAGGTGGATACCTAATGATTCCTCAAAACTCTCACAAAATTGCCTTTATTTGATGAGAGGCATGAGCAGAAGCATTGTCATGGTGGAGGACTCTCTGGTGAATCTCTCCTGGACATTTTTCTGCTAATGCTTTGGTTAACTTTCACAAAATGCTTTCATGATAGGCAGATGCTATTATTATTTGGCCCTCCTGTCAACAAGCACAATGCCTTGAGCATCTCAAAAAACTGTTGCCACAACCATTGGTCTTGGCTGGTCTGCTTTTGCTTTGATTGGACCACGTCCATGTCTTGGTAGTCTTTGCTTTGATTAGGCTTTGCCTTTAGGATCATACTGGTAAAAGCCATGTTTCATCTCCTGCTGCAATTTTTTGAAGAAATGCTTCAGGATCTCATTAGCTGAGCATGCTGGCGCATGCCTGCAGTTCCACCTACTCCAGCTGGGTGACAGAGAATCTGTCTCTTAAAAAAAAAAATTAATAAAAATAAAAAAGAAATGCTTCAGGATCTTGATCCCATTTATTTAAAATTTCCATTGAAAGCTCTGTCCTTGCCTGCAACTCATCTGAGCACAATGGTTTTTGACACCCATTGAATGGGAAGTGTGTTCAACTTTAATTTTTCAGCTAGAATTGTGTTAACTGAACCAGCTGAGATGTCTTTGATGCTGGTTATTGTTTCTGCTGTTAATCAGTAGTCCTTCTCAACTACGGCTTAAACAAAATGAATTTTCACTCTCAAATTGATGTAGTTGGTCTGTCACTGCAGATTTCGTCTTCAAGATCATCTCATCCCTTCTTAAAACGAGTTATCCATTTTTAAACTGCTGATTTCCTGGGGGCATTGTCCCCATAAACTTTTCATAAAGCACCAATAATTTTACATTCTTCCACCCAAGCTTCACCATAAATTTGATATTCGTTCTTGCTTTAATTTTAGCAGAATTCATGTTGTTCTGATGGGGTTCTTTTCAAACAGATGTCTTCTTCTCAGTGCCTCAAACTACATTTTGTTCAGATATGTTATAACAAGTTAGTATGAGTTTATTTTGGTGCAAAAATTTTTTTTAAATCCATGCATAGTTTTCCATAATATGCATTTTCCATGAACTTTCGGAAGTCCTCTCATGTTTGAGTATGCACCTAGGCAGGGGAGTAACATGGTGAAAGCACCTGGGGAATTACAAGTGCAGGATTAAAGAGAAAAAACTATAGGAAGCTAATGCAAGGACCTTTACACAGACTCCAGTGGTAGGCCTGAGGAGAAAGGGAACCAAAAGAGTCCTCATTTAATAAGAATAATTGACTAGGAAGAGTTGCAAATGATACTTAATGAGAACCCATTATATGCCAGTCATGGTTTTAAATAAATATCTCTCCATTTAAAAGTATAATATGTATATATTTATACACATACATAAGTACACTCATATACACACATATTTTAATCTTCATCACCACCTTACATGGTAATATCATCCCCATTTTAACTGAGAGTACTGAGGCTCAGAGATAGTACATTAAAATTTCCAAATTTATGCATATATATAGGGAAAGAGAGAGGGACAGAGACAGAGAAGCAAAAATTCAAATCCAAATATGTCTGACCTATTTCATGATACCTCTCAAGCTTAATTAGACTCAGAAAACAAAGGAGAGGAAGCAGCCCACATAAAAATAGAAACAGCCTGAAGGCACTTGGAAATATAATGTAAATAATGTTCCTTAAAATAACATATGATTTCAGACCAATATATTGTTAGCTTTGAAAGTTTGTGCATATCAGAGATAAATGTGAAAACAGTCAATAGGTAATGTCACAAGGTTAGAGTAATTGGCCCGTAGAAAGCAAAAAAAAAAAAAAAAAAAAAGAAGTATTTGAATAATCCAATATAGGAGTTCAGGGAAATAGGGAAATATGTATATGGCCTTTTTTAAGCTTAGCAAAGCGAGGAATTATATCTGTTTGGCTCAATCCTGTAATCCCAGGATTGAGTGCAGTGCCTGTCATATAATATTTCAATTAATATTTCTAGATTTTGAATTCTCAATTAGGAAAATCTTTGAAGGGTTTAATGTAAATCTACAAAGTCTTAAAATGATAGAATAAAGACAACATGATGAATTCAGGATGGCCCACCTTGCAGATATGGTGTGGACAGGAGAAATCATGGTGGACAGGCAGAAATCCAAGAAGGGAATGAGAGTCCTAGAGAAGTTCCCTTGTTGCTTTTACTTTAAAGAGTTCTGCATATTAGAGAAGAAACTACACACATGCAAAGCTGCAAGAAGCAAACAGTAAGACCCTGGATTTTTCAAGTTTCTGTCATAGTTATTCCTTCCCATCATATTTACACATGGTAATTTCAGGTGTTGTTTGTTTCTGGGAAAGTTCTTCTCAGATGCCAGCTTCAGGCAAACAGCAGTTGGACCAACCTTTTGTTTATTGGGGTTTTGTGTTGTTTTTTGCTTTTTGGCTTTTATAGTGGTTCATCTTTTCACTCAAATTCCACAATCTGCCACAGATGATCTGCTGATGGCTCCTCCATAAGATATATAATGTCATATTAACTCCTCTTTCTAGATGTGGGGCTTGGGGAAGTCAATCACTACCTCAGAGCTTTAGTCTGCACGCAACAAAGCAAAGACAGAGTCTTTTGTTTGTTTTAAAGGTGAATAGACAGTCTCGAAAATTTCTCTTATCTAAGTATGTTAACAAAGGGTTACCAAGGCTTTAGGTCCAAGGCATCTCTGTTGCTATGCATTTTGTCTTACTCGGCTAGACCTGCAGCAGAAGTCAACAAATGAAAATGTGGGGAGTAACCCTCCTGAACCTAACTCATGAAGCCGTAAATGATATTCGACATTTTTAGTTGTCTTCGGAAATATTTTTAGCAGTGGTTAACTTTTTCCAGACGAAATTTTATATAACTTTGCCACCTCCAAAACAAAGCAAATAATAAATAATAAAAATCAAGCTGCCCGGATCAATGTGGACTTGAGAAAAAAACGGCAATAGCATGCATTGTTTGGTCTCCAAGCACCTTCAGAAGCTCTAAAGCACATCCAGAATACTTAAGGCTCCTAGAACCTTAAATTCTAAGTAAAAATGCAAGTAAAATATAAAGTTCTTCATCAATGAACAGTATTAAGTCAACATAAA
Source organism: Homo sapiens (assembly GCF_000001405.40). NCBI lineage: Eukaryota > Metazoa > Chordata > Mammalia > Primates > Hominidae > Homo > Homo sapiens. The sequence goes on from NC_000002.12 coordinate 199,126,899, forward strand.
GAACTCACTTAAATTTTTATTCTGGGTTCTTACGTTACTTAAAACAACAGATTCTCAAACATTATCATGCATTAGAATCACCCAGAGGGCTTGTTAAACGACAGATTGCTGGGTCCCAGCCCCAGGGTTTCTGATTCAGATCTGGGTAGAACCTAAGATTTGCATATCTAACAAGTTTCCAGGTGATGTTGATGCTGCTAGTTCAAAGACTACACTTTAAGAATTTAAATCATAATTAGCTGTTTCTTCAGTGGGACCTACCGCAGGCATAATAATGCTCTCCGCCAACCCCCACTCCCCAAGATGTTCACATCCTAATCCCTGGAGCCTGTGAATATATGTTACAAGACAAAGGTCAATTAAAGTTGCAAAAGGAATTAAAATTGCTAATCAGCTGAACAGAAAATGGGGGAGGGGGTAAGGGTGGGGGTGGGCAGGGGTGTATCCTGGATTATCCAAAGATGTCCGATGTAATCACAAGGGTCATTAAGTGTGGAAGAGAGCAGCAGGAGGATCAGTGTTAGATAGGATGTGAGGACTCCACTAGCCATTGCTGGCTCTGAAACTGAAAGAGAACCACCAGCCAAGGAATGTGGGCAGCATCTAGGAGCTGGAAAAAGTAAGGAAACAGATTATCTTGTTGAGACTCCCAAAGAAACATAGCTCTGCTGGAATCTTAATTTTAGCCCAGTGAGGTTCGTTGTGAGTTTCTGATATCCAGAACTATAAGATAAACTCGTGTTGTTTTAAGACATTAAACTTGTGGCAATTTGTTACTGTACTTAATACAGGACCTCACAGATGACATTAGGATGAAGCACTGCACAAAGAAAATCTTCTTGTGGGGAAAAAATAAATAAATAAATAAATAAAAAACTCAAAACTGGTGTTATCTGATTTGAGGTAGTCTTTTTTTCTCCCAGTAAGAAGGTACTGTGGGATAGAAAGACACTGGTCAAATCAACTAGTCTGAATATGAATCCTGGTGACCTGGACAAATCATCTTATCTGGTCTCAGATTTCTCATCTACAAAATGAAGGTGTGGAACTCAATGTCCAGGAAGACTCTTTCCATGTCTCAAACTCTATGGTTCCAAGTCTCTAGAAAATGCCACTGCCTCTACTGTTGCCATCCTCCAAGGCCTTTACAGCCAGTGATGCCGTCTTCTGAATGCTTGAGTCAGCGGAGAATAAGGTAATATTTGTGACACAAGCCAAGAGAAAAAGTTTTACTTTCAACGCTTTAAGACCTAGGAAGCAATTCCTCAGATTAGCTACTTCAGACCAATTTAAAACTTGTATTTGCTCCAGAATTATTAGGCCACCTTAGACAGATTCCTAAACCAAGAAGACATTTTCCACTCTTGAAAACACTGACTTGAAAAACATCAACTCATGGATTTAGCCTAATGAGTAACGGTCTACTCTAAAATGGAAAAATTTCCCTGAAACAATGTTATTCTTCTCAACTAAAATTCATGAAGGCATAGTCAATGATGAAGGGGATTGGGGCAAGTTAAGGACCCAAATCTAAAAATGAATTTAAAAATATTTAAGTAGTGCTTGTGGCATGTCAGTTTCATTTAAGATAATAATTATAAAGAGCCAAGTTTCAGGCTGAAGATGAAATATGAAATTCAAAAAAGTTAAAGCAACTTTATTTTCCTTGCCTAGTCCATTTCACATCTTCAGTAGTCACTTTCCAAAACACTGCCTATTAAAAAACTTCTCTGTAAATACTGGGCAGAAACCCACACATGGGAACAGCATGCAGCATTCTTTGAGAATATGCCCAAAAATTCATCCCCTGCTACTCAAACAAGTTGGAGAGGGTTCAGAGAAGATCTGGAAAATTAACTTTAGAAGAGAAACTTGAAGCTCAAGTTCTTCATCCAGGAGATACAAATGAAAAGGGTATCTTAAAAACAGTTTTAATACAAAGGTTTGCAACTCTGGAACATACATGACTCTCCACAGGCACTTGTTAAACAGGCTTACTACCAGCCCCCAGCCCCAGAGAGTCTGACTCAGTGGTTCTGAATTGGGCCCTAGGAATGGGTATTTCTAGTACGCACCCTGATGATGCTGTTGCATGTGGTTTTCGGACCACACTTGTTGAAAAACAAGTTGAGAAACACTCACTAAATAAGTAGAAGAGGAACCCACACAGCTGTTCTGAATCTCTGCCACAAAACAAGTGAAATCCATTTAAACTGCATGAGCAACTTAGATCCAGAATGAGGGGGAAAAAAACCACCTCCTTGACAGCGAATGAGTTGGTAAAGGTGACACAGCAGAGCAGTTATGTGGCAGTAAGTCAGCATAGATAACCCATAAGGAAGACTTAGGAAACAATGCTTGCTTTTAAAGAGTTTATAGTCTGAGATGCTGGTTCTCAGTGTGGTCCTTAGACCAGCAACATCAGGATCACCTGGGAACTTGTGAAAAATACAAACTATCAGACTATACTTTATACCTTCTGAATCAGAAACTCTAGGGTTGGAGTCCAAAATCTGTGTTTTAACAACGCATCCCCACAAAGTGATTCTGATGAAAAACATTTGAGAACAATTGGCGTGAAGGAAGGAAACAAATAATATTAAAGAAGTTACAGAAATAAGTTACATGGTGTGGTGGAAAGAGGAGTACTTTCAGATCCTGACTTTCTTGCCCAATAGCTGTTTAAGCCTGAATAAGTTATTTAGTCAGGAAGAGCTCCAGTTTCTTCATCTGACTGGTTATAACTCCTTCGCTTACTATGAATACATTAGAAAAATAGTGAAGATCAAAGGAGATACGTAAGAACATTTGACAAGCTGAAAGTTCCAAATAAATCTAAGTTATTAATATAGCTATATACATAATCTCGAAAAGTAGCTTGGTTGGATAGAATCATTCATTCATTGTATAAACATTAATAGAGCACTTACCATATGCCAGTCATTGTTGTCTGTGCTAGGGACACGAAAGTTAGTTGCTTCTGTTATCTGTTAGTTAATTATTTGGAGGTCAGGAAAGACCTCATGAGTTGAAGAACAAGGCCACCAGAATTTCAAAAGTGGGAATAAGCTATTTTGGTGAAGAGCAGGGAGTTGTATGCTCAACCCAACAGAATCTAACTTCCTCAGGGCAGAGAACTTGTTTTCTACTGCTTTATCTCCATTACCTAAAGCTGGGCCTGGCAGGTAAAAGTCAATTAAGCACGGCGGAAGCAAGGGTGGTGGAAGTAAATCCCCAGGAATAGCCTGAAAGTTGAATGAACACACAAATAAATATACTTAACAGAAGTAACAATTCCACCTGGAGAGTAATGAAAAATGAGGTAATTATATAGGGAATACAAACAAAGGGGCTTGAAGTACCCAAGATGGAGTTTTGACTTACTAAAGATCAAGTTTGTTATGCTATTTAAAACATCAACAAGGCCTGGTGTAAGTTTTCTGAGCAAGTGTTATTTTAAAATTACCTCCTTTAAAGTCCTTAACTGTAGACACAGAACAGTAAAGCATGGGCCTGTCTGAAGAATAGATTACTTCTTGGAGATCCTTACACAATTCACATGTTGAAATTATCTATCCAATTCTTACTTCATTAATTTCACATGTACTGAATGACTGACGAAATCCTGGGTAATTGTTTTTTTCTTCACCTCTGGGATGATAAAAACATCAATGGGCTCTTCTGGGTCCTTCTACCCAGCAAAGCAGTGACCCATCAGGCTTAGCAGAGGGCTCTTAAAAACAAAACAAACAAATAAACCCTGCTTTTAATTCCTAATCGAAGTTAGGGGGCCCAGATGGAAAGCTTCAAGGACAACTTTTGTTTGCCAGCTTGTCTGCAAATGTGGAGGTTTGAAAATGGCTAAAGGAGTTTAAGGGAAACTTAAACTTGTTAAGTTTCTCTTTTGCAAATAATGAAGTGTGTCTGTCTCTTGAGTGGATGGCGGAAAACATTCCATCCACCAGTGAGTGATTAGACACACATGTAATTAATGGTCTGAATTCCAAAAAAAGAGATGAAACTCATTAATAAATCATTAGGCATTGTGAGTTTTTATTTTTTCCACTTCCTCCTACCACCCACATGCTGGTGGCAAAGGAGTCTCTAGCTATTATTTTTAACATGTAGAGTTTGAAAGGTTCTAAATCTCTGCAATTAGGCAAGCACTGAGACCTCACAACTAAGGAATTATTAATAATGCTAATTGTAAGGACCTTTTTCTTTCCCCCTAAAGTGGGAGTTCTGAGGCGTTTTGCTAATTTTTCTAACAACTTATTTTAGCAGGATCTATTTTTATTTTGGTTCAGAAAATCATGCTTTATGTGTTAAAGTTAAGCAGCTCTAAATTAGAGGTGGAGCCTTGTAATTGAAATCTGTTCCTCTAAGCACCAAGTGCACTCTGAGATAGCTAGTTAATGACACTTTGGAAATGACTCTCAGGCTTTCTCCAAATCCTGAATCAGATTCCCAGCTAACTGAAAGCAGAAAGCCAGTGAGCAGAGACGGGGGCCTCCAGCATAGCTGCTGGTTTTGACCTGTTTCTAGTTCTCTAACTCCTTTCCATCAGCCTGACTGCAATGTGCTGGCTCTCTCAGGGCACGGATGTCCCCCGTCACACTGTTGCATGGGTAGCTTTCAAGTACTTTTTGAAAGCAGATGTCCATGCCTCTCTCAATCTCCTCAATCTCCCTAACTCCATCGAGGAAAAAAAATAAATGTGCTACAGTCCCTTACATCCAAAGAGAGGTAAAAACCCCAAAAGGTTATGGATTTCCCTTGTTGACTGCTTACAGGATAGTTCAAAGTGCTTCCTCACTCCCTCTTACTCCTACTTTCTAAGATAATGGAGTTTTTCTCTGATCAGTTTGACTTTTACCCAATTAGACCTTTGTTACTACATAAAAATACACAGTTTAGGACTTAATGACAAACCTTTGTATTTGCAGAATTATAACTAGTATTTAACCTTTAGTAAATTACAGTGGTACATAGCATTGGGGTTCCGGAAGAAGAGAAGTTGAGAGAGGGGAGATACTTCCTACTCTGAAGGCCACAGCCCATTCTTTAAAAAGATCATTTCCAAAAATGTGTCCACACTTAACGTTGAATTGTTGAGGTAGAAATGCATACAGAATAACTTGAGTGAATTTACAGTGAGGTTCAATGTGCTAGTCAGCATTTATTTTGGGACCCATGGTCAGGGATGCTAATTGCTGGAATGTGCTAGAAACATTTGTATTCATTCCATACAACTTTGCTTTCAAATCTTCTATAGCACCGTTGTGTACTATTGCCTTCTAGCTGTCAATATCACTGACTTTCACCAGAGATCCAAAAATAGCTATCCCAAGTATCCCTACTCCTTAAATTCTTTTTGTCTATTTCTTTTCTCTTTCTTTGGAAGCATGAATATGTTTTATTTGATTATTTTTCTTTTGTTAGTGAAGCTTGTCTATATCTTTATACCTGTTAAACAACATGCAAACTGCATGTAGAATAGGGTCTGGCAAATAGGAAGCACTATATACACGTTAGCTCTTATTACTCATTTTTTCTTATGTGGCCTTCTTCTGTGGTATTGGCCCATGAAGCCCTGCGTCATCAAGACAAGGATCATAAGAGGTATCAGTAATAAATTATGGGAACAAATACAATATGATGATTTCTTACTCCTTTTTTTTTTTTTTTTTTTTTTGAGACAGAGTCTCGCTCTACCCAGGCTGGAGTGCAGTGGCGCGATCTCGGCTCACTGCAAGCTCCGCCTCCCAGGTTCACACCATTCTCCTGCCTCAGCCTCCCAAGTAACTGGGACTACAGGCGCCCGCCACCATGCCCGGCTAATTTTTTTGTATTTTTAGTAGAGATGGGGTTTCACTGTGTTAGCCAGGATGGTCTCGATCTCCTGACCTCATGATCTGCCCGCCTTGGCCTCCCAAAGTGCTGGGATTACAGGCGTGAGCCACTGCGCCCGGCCTCTTACTCCTTTTTACAACTCTCAAAGCACCATTTGAATACAAAGCTCTTTTGTAAACAAAAAGTTTTCTGTGAAGAATAAGAAAACGACCCTAAGAATTAGACAAAACACGAAGCTATCACCCTGAACATTTTTCTTTTTTGTGCATGCATTTTAAAAATGGGACTATATCTTGTACTTTTTACCCATGAATTATGAAGTTTTGCTTTTTAAAAATGATAAAATTTAAGTTGTAATTTTTTTACACTTTTCCTTTTCCCCTAGTTAGCCACTGGGAAAATAAGAAGCATGAAGTCTATGTAGGGACTCTCACGTACGAAGTGAAATAATCTAATAAATGTCTTTCTCCAAGAGAGATCTCCCAATACCATAAAATAAATCAATCAAGTAGATAAAAATGATGTTGTAGATGATGTCTGCTAGCAGCTCTGATATTTACAATTGATTCCAAATTATTTTCAATACAAATATATTATAAAAATTACCGTGTTGATGTGGACATCCTATACACATTCACCTGGAGGGGGTTTTTAAGAGGTGATGATGAAAATCCTTCATTCCTGAGGAAGGAGCATTATCAAATCATTCCAAACTCTTGGTATGAGATTTTTCAGCTTCTCCTAGTAATTTGTTTTAGTATTCAGCACCTCTCACTGTCAAAAAATTTTTCCAGATATTGCATAGACCTTTTATGTTATCATGGAAACTCACTTGTAATCCTGCTGCCTGTGGAATAAGAAAATGTGCTAAAAGCCCTTTTCATTCTTTGATCCTCTTGTTAACTTATTATTTTTTCTCTCTCCAGATTCATCATTTTTCCCAGAAGCTGTTACCTTTCCTCACAGATCTAATTGTTCAGCTGTTAATTAGCATCCCTGAGACTGTCTTCGGAATTGTTTCAAGTTTTCTCAATCTTTGCTCCTAAAAGTGGGGTGGGCCTCTGGACTCCTCACATCTGTGTCATCTGGAAACTTGTTAGAAATGTAAACTCCCAGGCCAGAACTTGCATTTTTACTAAGTCCTTTGATGATGTGTATACACACTAAATTTGGGGAAACATTGGTCTATATATTTACATAACTAGAATTATAGACTACACTATAGTCACTTTAGAATAAAGTAGAAATCATAACATTTCCATTCTATTGTCGTTCAGGGGAAAAGTTTATGGTGTTTTGTGTGGATTAAACATCTAAGATTGGTGAGGCAAGGTCCACTTCATTCTTTGGAAGTGTTCTTACCTATGATTTAGTTTTACCTATTAGCTAGCATTCTACAGTTTATAACTCACCCCATTTCCATGATCACACTATTCTAATTATCACTTCTTAAATGAATTTCCTAGGATTATGATGTATCGCCTGTAGTGAAAAATAACAGGAAATTATGACTCTTTCCAGCAGATTCTGCTTGAGGAATTGCAGTCCAGCTTTCTGTACTCCACATTTTTCCTCTCTGAGATGGAAAAGGTATACTCTAAAGAATGTACACAATTTCTTTAAGGCCAGAATATATGGTAAAGTTGTCTTAAATATTGAATCAAGGGTCATTTCACTGCTCACCTACTTTGTAGGTGAGGGTTGGCCCTTATTTAAAGTTTTTCTTTCCTATATTGAGCCCCTCCTTACTTCTTACTATCCTCTTTACTTCTTTACTACTTACGATTCAGGGATAGAATTTCACCCTAAAATTCTACCCCTGAATATCTCTCCCACTTATCTCCATATTAATGAATGTCATAACCATCACTCTTTGAGAGAATAAGGTTGTCCTGGTGACTGACAAGAGAACAAATATGAATTTATTCCCTGCAGATTTTTCTTTTTCTTTCTTTCTTTTTTTTTATAACGCCTTCATTTGCACCAGAATTTTACAACCAAGCCATTTCATTTGTCAACACAGCCATGTTTACCTTTCATCTGTTTGGGGTCATGAATTCACAGATGCAAAATGGTTAATCATCTTGTCAGTGTGGACAAATCGTGCATAGTAATCCACAAAAATGGTGTATTTGGGACCCCAGGGTCTGTGTTCATTCATTTGCCTACACAAACATTGGGGTGTGTTTCCTTTAAGCTTCACTGAGCAGTCACTATTTTTTCCCCTTCTTTCAGCAGTACATGTTGCTGATTTCTCCTGATGTGTGAAAATTTTCACAGCTGTATGCAAGAGACATTCATGGAACTGAAGAGCTTTTTGTCCCTGACGACTAAAGTCAGAATAAGGAATTCAATAAAGAATAAAGAAACCCAGTTTTTCCTGCTCTGTGAGAACAAGACTGTGAACTTTGTAGTCTTACTGGCTGTAGGTCGAAAGACAGGTAATTTAGATGTCTGTGAGCCCCTGCCAAAGACAAAACTTAAAGATGGAAAAAAATTAGTAGTGCAACACTCACACTTATAATTCCGATTTTTTAAAGTAGTGCCACTTTATAACCTGCTGATTTTTTTTTTTTTTTTTTTTTTGAGACAGAGTCTTGCTCTGTCACCCTGCCTGGAGTGCAGTGGTGTGATCTTGGCTCACTGCAACCTCCACCTACCAGATTCAAGTGATTCTCCTGCCTCAGCCTCCAGAGTAGCTAGAACTACAGGCACACACCACCACACCCAGCTAATTTTTGTAATTTTAGTAGATACAGGGTTTCACTATGTTGGCCAGGCTGGTCTTCAACTCCTGACCCTCAAGTGACCTGCCTGCCTCAACCTCCCAAAGTGCTGGGATTACAGGCATGAGCCACCATGCCTGGCCTTCTGAGCTTTTTAATATTAAATAATTAAGTGGCTCATATTTCTCATAAATTATTATTTAAACCTTCCAGAAATGTAGTCACTCTCACATTTGTGCCATAAATCAAGGATCAATAAGAGCTAATAATGATTTCTGTGTCCAAACAAAAATACAAACAAATAAACTCTTGGTGTGCTCATTTTGAATAATTTCTCGTGAGCACTCCTTCGTTGCAGGTTTGTGACTTTCTATAGCCTTTGAGGATGGGTTTTCTTATGAATTCCAGGCTTATTATTGGTATTTCTGGATACCATGGGAATAATTAATGTTTTATTGATTGTGTTTATACTAATCTAACAAAAACTTGCTTATTTACTATCAGGGTTAGGATGCATCACTTTTCAGTCTTCTAATAAGTGATAGCCTCAACCTCTTTTCTTTTGTATGACATAAGGATGACAAGATAAAAATCACACTACTGAAAATTGTCTTGGGCCGTAAGAGGAGCTTGGCCTAAGCAGAGGATAGTGGGAAGTTCTTTGAATAGAATACACTTAGCTGAGCTGATGAGAAGGAGGTAGCGGCAGAAAAAGTCTTGGCACTGTTATTAAGACATCAAAAATATGATTACCACCAATGATCTATGAGGAATTTTAGAGAAGAGAAAAAAAGGCGAAAGGCCTGAACTGAACTGAACTAACACTCTACTTATTCCTAGACCCAGAATGAGACAGGATTCTAGAAACTGAAAACCAGCAAGCATGAGGTTTATCCCCGGCAAAACCAAGCTTCTAGAATAAGTTGTTCAATAAACAATTCATGATGCAGTTAGGAATATTTGAGTCATGGTAACTCGATGCATATTCATTGCTCAGTGAGTTATGTTGACTCAATGTCATTTAATTGTTCGGTATAAATTCTACACAGAAAAAAATGGAGAAATGGCAGACAAACTCTGTCTTTATTTCCCTGAGGAATTTGGCCTCCAAATTTAAATGTTTAAATCTTTTATGATATCCTTGAGTGTAAGATAGATTGGGTGAGTGACGTCTGAATTTTTTTCTGGTTAAAACTTCATGAAGAATATGAATGTTCTGGTAAATGTTAATATTAAGCAAGGGCCAGAAAGCCCTAAAATTTTATAGTGGGTGGTGTGGACACACCATCCAGATACCACACTGCAGGACCAAGGGTCTTATTCCCTCAGCTGCCTGGAGTGGTGCCTGCTAAGGGTGCACAGCTGAGTTCCCCAACACAAATTTCCCTAGGCTGAAGGAATGTGACTCACCCCAGATAGTACTGCTGGCAATGCTCCAGGTCTGCTCCCTCCTTAGGCAGAGCCTGCATCAAATCATAGGTGACACCATTTTAGCTTTAGACTTCTGTGTGATTCACTGAGGCCTCTCTTGCAACTGCATTTCAGTTCAGCTTTTTCTCTTCTCTCTCCTGCTTCCCTCATTCTCTTATACATTTATTTCTCAAGAGCAGTCTCCCATAACCGTCTATGTGCAAATCTGTAAATCATCGTTTACTTTCTAGGGAATCAAACCTACAAAAGTTGGCGTGAGCAATGGTCCTAGAAAGCAGATTCTACAATAGGATTTTAGAGACGCATCTCTTGCTAATCTGGTGGTCATAAAGACCTGCCACTGGCAGTAGGTTGAGTACTTAAAGCCCACAGCATGGTGTAGCTACGCAATTACTAAAACTTTCACCAGTGACCAGCTGGAATTGGATACCAGAGGATGGAAATACACTGGTGGTGGAGTATGTCAGGCATTTGAAAGACTGGAGGAAATAGTAAATATAAAAGGTATGAAATCTGATAGTTATTAATGAGAGCTATGGGGGTATTAAAGAAAGATGTTGAAAGACAGAGAGATTTACAATGAATTAAAAGTACAGTATGAAAGCCAGAAAACCTTTGTGGCAGTATACAAACAGACTTCCATCTCTTGAAGCAGGAGGACAGAAAAAGCCGAGGATTCAGGCTCAAGAGACTTAATCATAAGGTCAGCAGAGCTACAGAGAAAGTTGAATTCTCAATCCTGGAAAATCACCTATACCAAGATCAAAAGCCTAGTTAAGAAAGAGTAGGATCTTGAGACTTGATAAGGACATCAGGGTTGATGCTTTCAAATCTTCAATCCCCATATTCCTCTGAGCTCTCTGGACTTGCAAAGTAGACCACTGCTCCATGTTACAAAGCCACTGTTCCCTTCCTAATTAAAGGCATCGCAAAGTGTTTTTTGCATGCACCTTTCCCACCGTGACTTACCCCTACTTACCTTCCTGGCCCCAGTCCAAAAACTAGGACTAAGTCACAATATAACCAGATGGGAAATGTGCTGAACCTGCTGAAGAAGAAATGGACTGTTTCCCAAAGGAGCTGCCAACATATATCAGTAAGATACAGGAGATCACAGAACTTGACCCTGAGGATGTGAACTAACAGATACGGAAGATGAAATGGGATAAGAAAGGGCTTATCAATATGGAGTGGCCAAACATTCTGGAAGACAATGCCAACAGGCTTTTAGGGTGGCTTATGTAAGTTTGAAGAAATAGGTGACCCATAGTAAGTGAAGGAAATGAAAGACTCAGAGAAGAGAAAATCCCAGAGATGAAAAACTAGTGAAGGTTAGCTAACCCAAGTCCACTATGTTCCATGGGAAAACCTTTATCAAAAGGATAAAGAATGCGCTGCTTCGTGGGGCCATGGCATCATTAAGAAGCTCAGAGATGGTTCTTCTCTGCAGTCTACACTAAAAATGAAAGATAATGTTACAGAACTTGGCTCACTGATAGCAATGGAAATAAAAGGATCCTGAAATAAGAGAGGCCAGGTGATGACACACAACACCACAAGCAAGATGGGCCCCATTATCATAAAGAACAGCAAAGTTGGAGTAGCAGCCATAAGGTCCTGAAAAAAAAGGTGTGAAGTCGGTTAAAAGAATGCTGGTGGCAAAATACGTGAATAGCAAACAAGAGACTTAGTCACCCTCTACAATCAAAAGAAATTATAGTCTCCAGATATTTGAAAATTAAATAATACATTTCTAAATAACTAAAGGATCAAAGAAGAAATCAAAAAAAGAAATTATAAAATATTTTAACTGAATTAAAATGAAAACACAACTTAGTGATAAAAAGAACGAACTGTTGATGGAAGGAACAACATGGATAAATCTCAAATTATTCTATGTGTAAGAGGACAGACGGAAAAGGATATATACTGTATGATTCCATTTACATAAAACTCTAGATAATACAAACTAACATATAGTGACAAGATGCAGATCAGTGGTTGTTTGGAGGGCAGGAAGGGTAGGAGGGAGAGATTGCAAAGTGGCACAAGAAAATTTTTGGATGTTATTATCTGTTTATTATCTTTATTTATGATTATCTTTATTATTTATTTATAATTTATTATTTATAATCATCACAATTATAATTGTGATGTTTTCCTGATTGTATACATACGTCTAAACTTATAAAATTGTATACTTTAAACATGTACAGTTTACTACATGTCAATTATATCTCAACAAGACTATTAAAAATAAATAAAGGCCATTCTACAGCTCTAATAGGTGGCAGTTTCCTGATAATGTGTATGTGAGAGGGACAGTGAATCCCTTGGTCATATGCCCAACATTGCACCTCCTTTGTTGTAAAGTGGAACCCTGAGTCTAAGGGAATATTACTCAGGATCCTGTGTTTGTTGTTAAGGCACTCTGAAAGACATTAGAAAGTAGCACTGGCTGAGTCAAGCAAGAAAGACAAATTCACAACTGAAATGTGTGTTAATCTGGTGAAGATAAATCACTCTCCTTTGTAGAGTAGGAGGGACCAATGTAATCAAATTATCACCAAGTACCTAGTTAGTCTCCTGGAGAAGTTGTTGTATACCAGAGACTTAGCATTGGTTTCTGTTGTTGTCAGGTTGGGCATTTGGCAGTGGCAGTAACTTGGATGGCCTTGGTGAGTGGGAGCTCATGCTGCTGATTGTATGCATAGCTTCTGCCTCTGCCTTCCTGGCAACTCCATTCATATACCCATTATACCAGCTTTTGGGTGGCCAATGACAGAAGCTGTTTGAAGTCAATCTACTGAGTTATTTTGTCTGCTTCATCATTTAGATCATTTTCATAACTCGTGCCCAATCCCTTAGGCCTATCCATATGTCTCTTACCCAGTTGTCCTGATCTCTGATCTTCCTAATATCTTGCCTTCCTGACCCTCATATATAAGCCAAGCCATTTGCTTGTACACACAAATACTCTTGAGCTACTTTTCTTTCACACAAAGTGGATAATCAAATGCATCATATGAAGTTCTGCCAATTGAGGGGATTTCCCTTAATTATGTACTTCAAGGCCACCCCTGAGTAGAGGTTTGTACATATTGGGCTTGCACCCAACAATACCAAAGTTAACCTTTTTTCTTCCACTTTCAGTTGCTTAGAGGGACATGCACATTTTACCATTGGTTTGAGCCAAAGAAGAGTCACTGGTGCAACAATGGTGGATGACATGTGATTCTGGTCCACCTGGTCATGCAACATTCTTGAAATCCTTGGCCCTACCTGGGCCTAAACCTGGTATTTACATTCAATGTATTTACTGATATGTTTAGGTTTGAGTTTGTCTTGTTGTCTTTTATTTATCCTATCTGTTCTTAGTTGCCTTTTTCCTTTTTGTCTGCCTCTTTTGGATCAATATTTTTATGCTTTCATTTTGTTGGTGTATTAACTATAATGCTTTATTTTGTTATTGTAGTGGTTACTTTAGAGTTTATCACCTACACCTGTCACTTATCACAGCCTACCTTCAAGTGATATTGTGCCACTTCATGTTCATCATGAGAGCCCTGCAATAATGTACATCGATTTCTGGACTTTATGCTATGGTTGTCATGCATTTTATTTTTTACATATGTTATAAACCCCATGATAGACTACTATTTTTATTAGCCTATGATCTTTAAAAAGATTTAAATAAAAATTGGAATACCACTTACATACCATGTAATTACCATTTCGGGTTCTCGTTCTTCCTTTGTATAGATCTGAATTTTTATCTGGCCTAATTTTCCTTCCAGATGAAAGACTTCATTTAACATTTCTTGTAGTGTAGGTCTGCTGGTGATGAATTCTTTTAGCCTTTGTATGTGCATAAGCATCTTATTACCCTTTTCTTGAGAAATATTTTTGCCAGGTAGAGAATTCTAGGTTGACAATTATTATTTTCTTTCAGTAATTTAAACATGTTGCTTCACTGTCTTCTTGCTTTTGTAGCCTCCAACAAGAAATCCCATGTAATCTTTACTTATCTTCCTCTGTATGCAACATGTCTTTTTTTCCTAGCTCCTTTTTAAGATGTTCTCATTATCACTGGTTTTGACCAATTTGATTATGACCTGCTTTGATGTTGCTTTCCTTATGTTTATTTTGCTTGGAATTTACTGAATTTCTTAGATATGTGGTTTCATAATCCTAATTAAGTTTGGATAGTTTTTGACCATTATTTCTTCAAATATTTTTCTTCTCCATCCTCTTTATTTGGGGGCTCCAACCACTCATATATTAGGTCACTTGAAGTTGTTCTGATGGCAGTGGCCCTTCAGAGGTGTGGCAGGAGCTCCCTGGGTGCCACTGCAGTCGCCCAAACTTCCACTGCAGGCCAGAGCCTCCCACTCCATGGAGCAGGCAGGAGCCCCACACAACCCTACAAACCACAGATGCAGACTCAGGCATCCCTGCCCTCATGGGGGCCCAAGAAGTCTCCCTACTTTTGCAGGCTTGAAAGTGCCTGCTTCTGCTGCCTGGCTTCTCCCTGCTATTGGTGCCCTCCCCACCCTAACCTTGGAGAAGTCCGGCAGAACCTGGGTGTCATCAAAGGCAGCAAGAGGCAGATAGGTTCCTGGGCAGAAGGGAGCGGTCCCCAGTAAGGCCCAACTTCAGGCCAGGGAAAGCTTGAAGGCTGGGGGCCCAGCTGCCAGCCCTGTGGACTAGGGTGGGGACTTATGGTGCCTTTTCCAAGGCACACATGGCCACCCCTGGATCAATCTGTACACATTTCCTCCCTGCTGAGGCCCTAGGCTCAGCCAGAGCAGGCAGAGGATGGAGAGGGCGGAGAGAAGTTGGGACAACCAGCTGCAGTAAGGAGCTACCCTCTCCACTGAGAGCTGCAGACAGCCAGATGACCTGCCAGTAGAGAGGAGCCACCCTCTCCAGGGCCTCCTCTCTGCTGAAAGCTGAATACTCCATGAGATTACCTGCTTGCAGAGAGGAGCTACCCACCGTGGGTCTCCTTTGAGCTGTTCTAACACTCAATAAAGCTCCTCTTCATCTTGTTCACCTTCCACTTTTCTGCATATCTCATTCTTCCTGGACACAGGATGAGAACTCACAGGTCAAGAACTTAGGCAAAGGTGCCACCAGCCACAGAAGTTTCTGGCCAGAAAATCAACACCCTATAGATCCCATAACAGTTCCACAGCTCACTGATGTTCTCTTCATTTTAAAAATTTTTTGGACAGTTTCAGTTGCTATGTCTTTAGGTTCACTAATCATTTTTTCTGCGATGTTTAATCTTCTGTCAGTCTCACCCAGGTTATTTTTCTTCTCATTGTTTTCATCTCTAGAAATTTTATTTGTATTTTAAAACATATTTCATATCTGTATGGGATACAATTATAATGACTGTTTCAGGGTCCTCCTCTGCTAATTTTAATGTCTATGTTCATTTGATTGATTTTTCTCCCCATTATGGGTTGTGTTTTCTTACCTCTTTTTATGCCTTGCAATCTTTGTTTGGATGTCAGACGTGAATTTTACCTAGTTAGGTGCTGGATAATTTTCAATTTCTGTAAATCTTGAACTTTGATCTGGGCTGCAGCTAAGTGACTTGGAAACAACTTGATTATTTCAGGTCTTACTTTTATGACTTGTTAGGATGTCCACAACAATGCTCAGTATAGGACTTATTATTTTCCACTACTAAAGGCAAGACCTTCCTGAAAAGTCTACATAATGTCCTGTTAATTATGAGTTTTTCCAGTCTGTCTGGTGTGAGCAAGTACTATTTCTGGCCCCATGTGAGCACCAGACATTATTATCTCCAACCTTTTCAGATGGTTCTTTTCCCAACATATACCTGCACTGCTTAATACTCCACTGGATACTGAAAGGGGACCCTCTGCAGACCTCCAGCATGTTCTTTCTATGAAGCTCTCTCCTCTTGGATCTTCTGTCTTATAAATTCTAGCTGCCTTGATCTATCTAGATTCTTGGCTTTATTGCTTCAACTCAGGGAGTTTGCATGGCTGTCTGTCTGTTCCCCTTCCCTGTACCAACTGAAAACTGTCTCAAGGCAGTAAGCAGGGGAAATCACATAACCCATCATGTTTATTTTCTGCCTCTCAGGGATCACTTTCCTTTGTTTTTGACATCAGTGTCTTAAAAACTGTCTGATGTATTTGTCTGGTATGTTTGTTTCAGGAGAGAAGGTTAATATGGTCCTTGTTATTCCATCTATGTTACCTGCTAAATCAATAACTATCATATTTCATAACATATCAATAGATACAATAAATGGATCTGGGAACAAAAAGATAGATAGAAGTTAGAATGCCTCAGCTTAATGTAATTCTTGGTGACCCATTTGGAGAATTTTGCTATTCACGTCCACATCTCTGGGCTTGGAAGTTTAGAGATGTTGAACATTTCTACCAGGATACATTGCAAAAATCCTACAAAATTCTAAGCTATGGCTCCCACTCTGTTACTTTGAGCTCCTTGCATGAAGAGACCAGCATTTAAGAAAAGTCAATATCATCCTCATGGTAGTAGCTGATCATGATCATCAGGAGGAGGTAAGGTTGCTCCTTATACAATGAAGGCAGGGAGAAATTGGCTTGGAAAACACGTAATTCACTGGGACCACTCTTGATATGCCTTTTCCCAATTTTCATAGTAAACAAAGACAGCAGTCATGGTCTGGGAAGGGCAAGGTAATCACGGGCTCTATGTAACACACGGATGAGGAGATGAGTCAGATGACTCAGTGAACAATTGGATGTGAGGTGTGAGAGAAGATTTAAAGATGATTGCAAGACTTCTGGCCTAAGCAGCTAGAAGAACGGAGTTGCTATTTCCTAGGTTAGGAAGGACATTGAGAGAAGTAGGCTTCAGGGGGATTGGAAGTTTAGTATTGGACATGTTGCTTTTGAGATACCTAATAAACATCAAGCTAGATCTTTCAAATAGGCAATTTGATATGAGCAATGGCATTAAGAAAATGCTTAAAAGTTACTTAAAATATTATTACAAAAAAATACAAAGACTTCTCAGAGTACTTCTTGAGTTTGGAGAGAGTGTGTGTCTCTCTCAAACCATACAGGGCATGCCATATTTGGGAAGCCAGAACTCATCTTCATGTCTCATCTGCCCCTTATTTGCTACATCTGCACTCATATCTTCCCCCTTACAACCGCTCCCTTTTTCTTCACCTTCTACCACCCTTGACTTTTCAAGGGAAGGATTACAAATATTCTTTCAAGCAAATATTCTTTGCCCATTTTGGGTGTCTAAGAAGGTCTGTGGTGATGGCTCTGAGCCAAGGAATTTTTCCAAGAAACAGAACATGTGCTTCCTTGGGCATGGTGTCATTCAGCACAGAAAGAAGCTTGATCAGACACAAAACAGAACAAAACAACCTCCCACCACCTCTTCCTCTAGAACACTTTTTCTCCTCCTTTTCTTTGTTACCCACTACTTTACAGATCTAATGCCATCTCCTGGAAACTCTGGGAGGTTTCCATATCAAGATGTGGTCATCAAATCTTTGCACAGCAGCCCATTGGTGAGAAGACCGGGAGCTTGAGCGGGGTTTTGCATTCCCAAGCTTTAGTTTTTCAACATCTATAAAATGAAGAGTTTGGACTAGATCATTTTCAAAACATTTCCAACTCTACAATTCCATTAAGTGTAAAATAATTTAAATGGGTCAAGAAATTTTAATGTTAATTTGAACCAAATGCAAAACTAGGCATAGTTTATATCAAGCTCTAATTATAATCATCTAAGAACTGGATTAGCAACCAGAAAATTCTTGGCACTCTTGAGCTCAGCAACAATGACCTTTTAGCTTTGGCAAGTACCCTGAACTGTGGTCTCTGAAGAAATAAGCAAGAAAACATTTACCTACCTCATGGGAGTCTTTGAAAATTTTATTTGTTAATTCTATTTAAGTGCTTTGACTCAGCAAAGCTTAATAATAGAGCATCAGTACTAGGAGTTATTATTTAGGTTTATAAGATTGGGTTTCCATTTGATGTGCAGAATGGTTTCTGGGTTCTTATTGTGTAGGGCAGGCAAGGATGCCAAAAGCTTTCGAACTCCACACAGAGTTGCCCTTTTTAAAAAATTAACATTCTATAAATATCAGTCATTGAATCAATTTTTAAAAATAAATTTATTTCAACAGTGAGTGGAAATTATTCTTATTAATATTAAGATTATTCTTCTCCCATGATAATAACTATTAATATACTAAGAATAACCTCCTGTTTATTTGGGCACATGGGAATTTCTGAAAACTATCAGAAAGACTCACTGGGAAGGGAAAAAAATCCAAGAATAGAGTGAAAAGAAACTATTTTGAAAGGGTTTGTTTTCCCATGTAGAGTTAAACTACAAATAAGGCCAAAACTAGAAAACCTGGAGAGTGAGAAAATAAAAGCTCAAACTGAATGTCTTGGTCATTTATGTAAGTGATCAAAATTTGGTCATCCGATGTAAAAATAGCCTAAGAGAACTTATGAGAATGTATTAATTAGTTAAGCATATAATTTCATATACCTAAGTAAAATCATACATTAAAACACTTTTTCAAATTACCACACAGAGAAACATTGCAATTTCAAATAGTTGTCTCAAATGAAAAATTATGTTATTACTTTATAAATGTACTTTTGCAAGCAATATGTTTGCCACCTGCAAAACACTGGCAAAACTTTTAGTACAATACAGAAAGGTATGTGTTTTCCAGCAAGACATAATTTACATATGTTTTTCCTAACACAGTTCATTGATAAGAGAACATCTTTGTGGAGTTCTTAAATACATAAGCAGAAAGCAGAAGAGGGTGGAATAGCATGAGGTGGTGACATATTTAAAAAAGTAATCATTGATATCTTCCATTTTATGTTTCTGGATTAGCAGGAAAAAATCAATTTAATTACATTTCTTTATAAATAAATTTAAAAGCTAAGTTCTCAACAAGAATATGAGCTTTAAACCAAATGAAAAACCCCCTTTTGATCATATGACTGGCCATTTATCTGTCACCTTCCGAATTTTCATTAAATAAATAGGGTGTCATTTTATTAAGAATACATAGATTATGTTTATGTAGTAAGGTGTACATTCGACTGTGAAAATCAAAACAGAAGTAGCAGATGGTTCTGCTTCAACCCAAGAGACCACTCACTGAGCCAACTCAGAATGAAAACCTCTTTTATCCAACATGAAGATATGATATTTGGAATTCCTGCCCCAATACTTATTTAAATATCAAAATAGAAGAGAATGGGAGAGGTGGACTGGCACAAATTGACATCATCGACATCCCAACCATTGTTCATTCATTTGTGCTCGCCCCAGGCCAGAAACAATAAAATGGTCAGATATCTCAAGAGCAACGACAACGCATAGTGTAAGCACACTTCTCATTAGCTATAATGACTCATTTACACCCAAAGTCTCATTCAAACTGATAGGCTAAAACCTCTTTCTTTCACATTTTCAGAAGAATATTGATGTGTCTCTGTTTTAAGAAAACATGCTATTTAAATTAAAACTGTCTAAAAATATAAGAGATTTTTCTTCATGTTACAAACAGTTTTCATATTACAAAAGAGATCATCTGAAAGCTGTATTTACAACATAACAATTTATCAGCCCAAATGTAGAAATACTATAGCTCAATTATCGAACTCTTTACCAAAGATCAATGTATCTAGACAAGAGAAGTGGATTTAAAGAAGTGACTGTTTCCCCCTTAGTCTTACTGGAGGATTATTTCCACTCAACGATTCACCAGGGAATAGATAAGGGTCAGTTCTTTTCTTAATCAGTCCACCAGACTAGGACTACGGATTCATGTCTCCTACTCATTGAAACAAAATTTGACTACTAAGAATAAAGTCAATACATGCCTACGTTCATTGTAAAGATAGTCAAAATATAAATAGTATGGGAAGATAAATGTACTCTCTCTTCTACAGGACTGCTATCTAGTTGCACATGAATCTTTTTTTCCTCAGTGCTTATACACAGATGACAGTGGCAGATACTGTCAGTGCTCTCCCCATACCTGCTCTGATCTCCTTAAAACGCTCATGCACAACAGCTCCAAATGTGTTTTACTGCTCACAGCCAGAACTTGCATCTCCTTGTTGGAGGGCTGTCCTGGCTGCCAGAATTCTCTTTGTCTGCATGCACAGACAGTCAGAAGTGCCAGAATTCATGTCACCTCGGGTGCGCTCTTAAACATTGACCGATTGTGGCAGGGTGATACTCCAACTCCCTTCCCCCTAATCAGGACATTTTGAAGTGTGATCTATACTGTTTTCTGAGATCCTCCAGGAGACTGAGCTAGTTACCCTCTTTAAAACACCCTGGCATGGCCTCTCTCCCTTCCTGGTCACACATCCCCACTCCCTTCCCAATTTTTCCTAGAAACATTTCCTAATAAATCACTTCCATATGGCTCTGCCTCAGATTCTACTTCTGGAGAATCTAATCTAAGACAGCTGGTACTAGATGTGGTCATAGGAAGTGGACTCTCAGGAAAGGATTCTTGAGTTGGATCAGTTGCTGACCAGATGGCAACAGGAATTAATTCCATTGTTGGAGGTAAATCAGGAGAAGATTACCCTTAGCATGCTATAATAGGGTAATTGATAAGAAGTTTATCTGTGAATTAGGACTGGATCTTTGGTCTCCTCAATATCCACTCCCACCTCCCTGCAGACCACTAAACCCATGACTAGGGTCAAGTCTCAACATGGATCAACTGGAAAAATACAAGACATGCTATGGTCTGAATGTTTATGTCCCTCTAAAATTTAAATGTTGAAATCTAATCACCTGTGTGATGGTATTAGAAGGTGGGGACTTTGTAAGGTGATTACACCATGAGGAGAAACGGGGTTTTCTAACCTTTTCTAAGCCCATTTTTTTAAATAAAAGAAGCCCCAGAGAGCTGCCTTGCCCTTCTACCATGTGAGGACACAGTGAGAAGGTGCCATCTGTGAACCAGGAAATGAGCCCTTACCAGACATCGAATCTGTTGGCACCTTAATCTTGGTCTTCCCAGCCTCCAGAACTGAGACAAATAAATTTCTGTTGTTTATTGGCTACCCCATCTACAGTATTTTAGTATATACCCTAAACAGACTGAAACAGAAGAGAATGAATTATTCACCAAAATTGCTTCAGTACCTAGCTAATATGTATTGGTAGAAACCAAATAAACATGGTTCAGAGAGGATTTTGAGGGTACTAGACTCAATAAAAGGTGCTGGGTAGAACATGAGGCATTGTAAGGGAGCGTTTAGTGATATAGGGACATTTTTCCATGACTTAATGTTCATGATTCAATATTCTGGCAAAAGCATCTGGAGTCAATCCTAACACACTGATAGAGTGGTTCCTGGAAGTCTGGAATAAATGATGTCTCACATTAAATGAGAGAGAAATCTCAGAATGAGCTTATATATTCAGCAGTTTGAAGAACACTTACCTTGGCTCATTAACCTGTGGTGTAAAGGTCATGATGGGAGAAAAGACCAAATGAAATCCCCTAAGACTACTCCCTACCCCTCAACTTGGCCAAGATTGAAGACCAGAAACTACATTATATTCAAATGAAGTGGCAGGGATTAATGCCACTCTCAAAGATTTAACAAAGATTTCCCAACACATTTCCTCTTGAGTCACCAATGTGACATACACAAAAATCAACAAATCATGGCAGATGACAGTGGATCACTGAAAGTTTAACCAAGCTGCAATGACCATGATACGTTTACTACAACAGGTTAATACTAACTCTGGTATTTGGTATGTAGTTATGCATCTGGCTAATAAATTATTTCTAACACTTCTCTATACGAAATGTTAGAAGCAGTTCTCATTCACTTGGAATAAACAACAGTACACATTTTTTTATCCTATCGCAGGACTATGTTAACTTTCTTCCCACTAATGGGTGGCCTTGTGGTAGGGAAAATACTTCTCATTTGGGCAGAACTTTAAGCAGTACACTCGGTCATCTACTTTGTGGAGAGAAAGACGTGGCCAAAGGTAAAAATATAAATGAGTTCTTTAGTGTAGCAAATAAATTGACTGGTTGATCAGAAACTAGAAGGAAAAAGATTGGAGGATAGGGAAAGAAAAAGCTGGGTGAAAGTCATGTAGATATAACCATATACCTGTAGGTTACTAAGTGTAACAATCTTTGCTTTACATCTAAGTGTTCACCACAGAATCCAATGTAGGGTAGGCACTACACAATTGATATGGTTTGACTGTGTCCCCACCCAAATCTCATCTTGAATTGTAGCTCCCATAATCTCCATGTGTTGTGGAAGGGACTCAGTGGGAGGTAATTGAGTCATGGGGGTGGGTTTTTCTCATGCTGTCCTTGTGATAGTGAATAAGTCCCGTGAGATCTGATGGTTTTATAAAGAGCAGTTCCCTGCACATGCTGTCTTGCCTGCTGCCATGTAAGGTGTGCCTTTTTTCCTCCTTTGCCTTCCACCATGGTTATGAGGCCTCCCCAGCCATGCGGAACTGTAAGTCCATTAAACCTCTTTTTCTCTATAAATTACCCAGTCTCAGGTATTTCTTCCCAGCAGTATGAAAATGGATGAATACAACAATGAAGTAGACAGAGTCATCTGAAAGATGCCAGCTAGTCTCTGTCCAGAGTCATTCTAGTGCTTCAGCAATGACCCCCAAAAATGAACCATGGATAAAATAGGAATAGAATAGAAAAGAGAAGAATAGAATAGAATAGAATAGAATAGAATAGAATAGAATAGAATAGAATAGAATAGAATAGAATAGAATAGAATAGAATAGAATAGAATAGTTGCAGAGATGGAGACTCTGCATCAATCCAATAGCATGAACTCCTATGCTCCAAGGCTGATCCAGCTACAGTTACTGCTAAATGTCCACCCTGTCAACAGCAGAGACAAAAGCTGAGCCCTTGATATGACACCATACCTTGAGGAGACAGACCAGCCTCTTGGTGAAAAATTTATTACATCCAATCCCTTCTACTACAGAAAGAATAAAATTACAGTATTTTGTCCTGACTAGGATAAGCACATATTCTGGAGATGGATTTGCATTTCCTAACAGAAGAACTTTGGCCAGCACCACTATCTGAGGGATCACAGAGTGTCCGATTTACACACCTGGGGTCTCATTTGACTGAAACTACTTCACATCATTTCAAACCAATTGACCCACTTTACATCAAAGAAGATGCAAAAGTGGGCACCATATCACAAGATCCACTGATCCTGTCATATACTATATCATTTCAAAGCTGCTTTTTATATAGAATTTTAGAATGGCTTCTTATGGATTCAATTAAGACACTATCTTAGAAATGATAACCTGTGGGATTACAGCTTCATTATTCAAGTTGAGCCAGTAATCACTGTATGGTGTTGTCCCCAATAAGCAGAGCATATGGGTCCAGGAACCAAGTAGTAAAGTAGAAGTGTCTCCTCTCACCATCATATCCAGTGCCTGCTTGGGGGGAATTTAGGCTTCCATTCCTGCAATGTTAGTTTTGGTGTGTCTAGAGGCCATGGTTCTTGCCTAGGGGTGAGGAGGAAAACAATTCCACCAGAGGAAACAAGGGCCCCACTAAACCTAATGCTACAACTTTTAGGTCCTTTTGGACCACTAGTGCCAGTAGACAGATACAGCAAAAAGTTGCTGAACTGCCAGGGGCAATAATCCTGATTATAATGAGAGGGTAGAATTGCTGCTACATAATGTGCCAAGAAGAAGACCATCTGGAACTCAGAACCCACTCAGACATCTCTGGGTCTTTTGCCCAGTTTCAACTACAAACAAGCAATTACAGCAAAAGCATAGTAATCACATCCCAGCCCCTACAGGTATGAATATCTGGATCACCCACTAGGCAAGCCACCAGATCTGCATAAGTGCTGGCCAAGGGTAAACAAAATCTAGGATGAGTGGGATGGGAAATAAGTGATCAATATCTATCTGCAACAGGAGGGGTTGTAGCTCATTGCACAGACCTTCTTCTTAAAGGCTTTGAGTTTTTCTTTTTTTAGAAATTATGACCAGCTCTATCCTGAAGAAACAATGGAATAAAGTTAACATAAGGCATGAGTAGATCTGTGTGGCAGAGGGTTAGACTGGAGCAGACGCCGTCAGTGTTCCATCCAAATGTCTTTGGATTCAATCATCATTTTCATGTACGATGGCTCCCACTGTGCTTTCACCCACACAGCCTATACCCATGTCTTCATCCAACAGCTGCCCTTAGGCTGTGAGAGCCCACTTAGTCTGCTGGCAGAAAAAGCCTGAAGGACCTAGGAATTTGTGTCATCCCTGAGTGGCAGCCTTTAACCAAGACTGATGGAAATGGGAGTACAGCTCCTCCACCACCCAGATTCGGATACCTTCGCTGCTTTTCTCAATCAGTGTTCCTCATCTGAATCACAGAAGACACAACATGATTTCAGTGATGATTTTCTCAATTCCCCCAAGGATGGGACAGGACTGATACCATTCTGGATGCATAGAAGAGAAATTAATTCACTCCCCACAGTGGATGGCCTCGGAAATTAGGACTTAATTCTGTAAAATTATTAAGAAATGTTGTCTGAGGTGTGACCTACACCATCTCCAGATCTCCCCTGAGTAACTGAGCCAAAGTTATTCCGGAGGGACTCTACATGAATAGGCTGTGCAAGAAATGTAACTGTCCTTACCTGTCCACCCATCTTAATTTCTGTTTCAAACTCCACCTCACCCCCATCCACTAGGTTTTTGGAAACTCAATGGCATTTTAATCTGGGGTTCTTCCCTCTTCCTGAGGTCATGCTTATTTCCAGGAACCTAAGATAGTACCAATGCATTGATGAGGAGAGGGGAGAGAGAGGTTGTGCTCAATGCCACCTGTCTACGCAGCATACCCTCCCTGACCCTCCTTCCCTTCTTGGTTTCACTTCCCCACCCATCCTGCCTGGTTTTCCCAGGGGTGCTTCCTAAAAAAATCACTTTTGCGCAAGCCCTCATCTCAGGGTCTGCTTACAAGGAATACAACTGGAGACATTCACTTTCTGAACTTCAATTTTGTTGCTGGAACAACAAACATGCATAGAAAAAATAGAGCCCAGGAAATGGCTTCTGCGTCTGGAGACGGATAAGATTTCAGGGTGGTGGCGTAGTGGGTGGCAGGAGAGGGTGAGTCTCTCTATGGATACAGAAATTGAAGTTCATGAAGAGGGAGCCTGAATAAATATTGCTTAGAGTTCACAGAATCTACATTTGGCCCAAATCAGAATTTTCCAAAATAGTCCCATAACAAAAATGTGTCAAAGTAAATTGTGTAGAAGTTAAGGTGGCTATTATAATATCAATTTTAAATGCAATCCAGTCAATGATTCCAATTTTAAAATTTCCACTAGCAATTTCAATGCTCCATTTTCAACTTCTTTGTTCCTTTCCCCATTAAAACACTGGATTGTTAATTTTGCAAGTTAACACTTAATAAGAAGAGATTAATGAATAACAGTGAAGTGGTACAAGGAAGAAAACTTTGCTTTCTTTTAACAAGTCCTATTAACTTCTGTTTTTTCCCAGAAGGCTCAAAAATGCCAAAGGTTTACCTTTAAAGTATGAGAGTCTAAACATCATGGTAATTTTGTTCTCTTCCTACAAAAGGTGGCCTACTGTTGTTGTTTTTTTATTATAATTTCCATACTAAAATCTGACTCTCAAGAATGTGTTACATCCAAGATTGTGTTCTCATATCAACCTTGTACCAGGGTCTGGCTTCCAGAGATCCTTCATAAGCTACTGTTCAATAAATGAATAAGTTATGTAACAGGAATAAAGAGAAAATAATCTGCCTATAGCAAGGATGTTAGTCCATGACCTTGGCTGTACAAGAAATGTAACTGTCCTTATCTGTCCAAACATCTTAATTTCTGTTTCAAACTCCACCCCACCCCCATCCACTAGATTTTTGGAAACTCAATGGCATTTTAATCTGGAGTTCTTCCATCTTCCTAAAGTCATGCTAATTTCCAAGAATCTAAAATAGTACCAATGCATTGATGAAAAGAGAGGAGAAAGAGATGGTGTTCAATGTCACCTGACAATTCAAAGCAGCATTTGCTGAGGATATTCCTCGTTCCATGCTGTCCTTGTGCTCAATCCTTAAATCTGCTCCACCATACTCCTCTCCTCTGGTGGGATTCACCACCACTCCCAGGCCTTTCTTTGGAGTGGGGAAATGGCAGCACTTTCTTGTGCTACACTGAAGTCAGGAGACTCTCTTCATGAGGTTATGTTAAGCCCTATCTGCCATATACCCTGTAGCCATGTTATCCTTGAGCCTTTGACCATCAAAGAGCTTGAACTAGGAAACAGATGATTCCTCTGCTCCAAGACTCTAAAGAAATGTTTGGCCTTCCCAGATCAAGAGCAGAGTGCATGTCTGTATTTCTCTCTCTCACTCTCTCTCATTCCCCTCTTTCCCTCCTTTTCTTTCTCTCTCCCTCCCAAACCTCTCAACTTTCTCTCTTTCTTTCTCTCCACTTCTCCCTTAACAAAGTTCATGAAATTTTTGTGGTAAGTATGTTTGGGATGATAGAGAGACATTAGGGTTAGGAAAACGATGTAATCTAGGAGACTTCTCATGCTTGGAGTTTTCTCCCCATTCTTTGTAAGAGCCAAGATTCTGAAAATGAGGAAGCAGGAGGAAATTCCTGTATTCCTCTTTTTTTTTCTGTAAATACATCTTTTCTTGAGGCATAAGCAGAGAGCGACCTAGATTAAGGGTGAGGAGTGAGAAATTGGGTTAGGAACTATCAAGAAGAATCATTAGTTAATATTGCACAAACATTATTTCTTATCCTTTAAAGTCAAGCAGAGAAAGCGCCATCACTGAAGCTTCCTTCCTTTTCCCCTTCCAATCGAAATTATCCCTGTGTCTTTATTTCACTTCTTTTGTGAAAGACCTACCTAGACTTAACTATCATGTCTTGTGTTGAACTTATTTGTTACTTTCTCCTCTATAGACTGGGAACTCTCAGAAGGCAGGAAAACCTTATTTTTCTTTGAATTCTTGGAGCCTAACACAGACCCTAAGATGAAGGGAGCAATCAATAAATATTGGTTGAATGAGGAACATAACTTGTTTTGTTTTGCAGAATCATACTGCTTCTGAGATTATAGTGATCAAGTGGCCAAAGTGCGTGGTGGTGGTCAATCATACCGATACTAGAAGGAAGTGCTGGCTCTTAACCAATCTGCTTCACTCCTTTCTGTCTCAGTTCACTCATCTTTAAAAGCAGAGACTCTGAAGCCAGGCCGCTGAATTTGAACATTTCTTCTCCCATGTATGAGCTGTGCGACCTCTGGACGTTATTTATCCTCTCTGCACCTCTGATTCCTCATCTGTACAACAGAGATTATAGCAGTCCCTGTCTTATAAAGTTGTGCTGAGGTCTACATGAGTTTATCTTTGTATTTAAAACAGTGCCAGGTACATAGAAAGTGCTGTTTAAAGTGATGGATACATAAGTAACATAGATAGCTCATGTTGTTACTATTTCAGCCCCAGTGTACATATTTGGAAAATAATTAGACCACTAGCTTGTGTGGGCAGAAAGGAACAAGGAACACTTGGGTTAATTTGGAATCTATTAAGAAAAGAAGGGGGCAGGGCCAAGATGGCCGACTAGAAGAAGGGGCGTTCAGAGGCTCCCATTGGAAAAAAAACATAAGCATGAATCCTTCACCGGCAACCAAGGTATCCAGGTTCTGTCATCAAAATTGACTAGAAGGCTGGCATGACCCATTGAGAGAAGGAAGAACAGTGTGCTGCAACAGCCACATGAGGAAGTGGAACCTCCTCCCCGCAACCAAGGGAGGCAGTGAGTGAGCATGCTACCCAGCTGGAGAAATTGTACTTTTTCCATGGAAGTGTGAAACACACAGATTGGAAGAGACCACTCGCAAACCCACACTACCAGGGCATAGCATCCTAACCCTGGAATGTGCAGACTCTTACAGCCTCTCAGCTGGAATCTTCTTAAGCCTGCTGAACTGCAGGAGGGGAGGCCAGCACTGGGACTCACAACTACCTGGCATGCTAAGCTCCCTGGTTTGGGGAAGGGAGGCACCAATTTCTATAACTCTAGGCTGCACTCTTTCCCTGCTGGAGCCAAGGAAGCTGGATGGCTTCATCCCAAGACTTGTCCCCACAACTGAACACATTGGCTGTGGCAGTCTGCAGCTGGAGTGCCTCTTCAGGGCTAACCCTGACCCATCCTTCCTCACTGGGCAGGGCTTCCCTGCAGGATCTCCAATAACTCCAGCCAGAGGCTCAGGGACAGAATTTGGATCTCCCTGGGCCTGAGCCTCTATGGGCAGGGGTGGTTGCAGTCTCTGCAGACCAGCAGACCTAGCCTCTCTTCCTGGTAGTTCTGAGGAATCCAGGCAGCCCAGACAAGTGGGTTTCCCCAGAGCGAAGCACACGCTCTCCACCAAGGGACAAAGTGCTTCATTAAATGGATCCTGCTCCCCATGCCACACAACTGAGACCCTCCAATAGGGGTTGTCAGACACCCTATACAGGAGCAATCCTACTGGCATCAGGTTGGTGCCCCTCAAGATCAGAGGTCCCAGAAGAGGGAACAGGCACTCATCTTTGCTGTTCTCCAGCCTCCTTGAGTGACATCTCCAGGCACAGGAGCAAATCAGATGAATAAGGCCTGAAGTGAACCCCCAGCAAATGGCAGCAGCCCTACAGAAGAAGGACCTGACTATGAAAGAAAAACAAACAAGCAGGAAGCAACAACACCAACAACAAAAATAGGGCCCCCACAAAAACCTCAACCAAGGGTCAGCAGTCTCAAAGACGGAAACTAGACAAACTCACAAAGATGAGGAAGAATCAATGAAAAATGATGAAAACCCAAAAGGCCAGAGTCCTCTTCTCCTCCAAATGATCACAATGTCTTTTCATCATCAAGGGTACAGAACTAGAAGGAGGATCAGATGGACAAGTTGACAGAAGTAGGCTTCAGAAGATGGGTAATAAAAAACTACGATGAGCTAAAGGAGCATGTTCTAACCCAATGCAAAGAAGCTAAGAACCTTGATAAAAGGCTAGAGGAATTGCTGACTAGAATAACCAGTTTAGAGAGGAACATACACGATGTGATGGAGCTGAAAAACAGCATGAGAACTTTGTGAAGCATACTCAAGTATTAACAGCCAAATCGACCAAGCAGTAAAAAGGATATCAGAGTTTGAAGACCACCTTACTGAAATGAAACATGAGACAAGAATAAAGAAAAAAGAATGAAAATGAATGAACAAAGCCTCCAAGAAATATGGGACTTCATAAAAAGACCTGATCTATGATTGATTGAAGTACCAGAAAGAGATGAGGAGAATGGAAAAAAGCTGGAAAACACACTTAAAGATATTATCCAGAAGAACTTCCACAACCTAGGAAAACAGGCCAACATACAAATTCAGGAAATACAGAGAACACCATTAAGATACTCTAGGAGAAGAGCAACCCCAAGATACATAATCATCAGATTCTCCAAGGTCAAAATAAAGGAAAAACTGTTAAGGGCAGCCAGAGAGAAAGGTCAGGTCACCTACAAAGGGAAGCCCATCAGACTAACTGTGGACCTCTCAGCAGAAACTCTACAAGCCAGAAGAGATCAGAAGCCAATATTCAACGTTCTTAAAGAAAAGAATTTTCAACCCAGAATGTTATATCCAGTCAAACTAAGCTTCATAAGTTTAGGAGAAATAAAATCTTTTCCAGACAAGCAAATGTTGAGTGATTTCATTACCACCAGACCTGCCCTGCAAGAGCTCCTGAAAGAAACAGTAAATTTGGAAAGGTAAAACCAGTACTAGTCACGGCAAAAACACACCAAAATATAAAGACCAATGACACTATGAACAAACTGCATCAACTGCTGTGCAAAATAACCAAATAGCATCATGATGACAGGATTAAATTCACACATAACAATACTAACCCTAAATGTAAATGGGCTAAATTCTCCAATTAAAAGACACAGACTGGCAAATTGGATAAGGAGTCAAGACCCATTGGTGTGCTGTATTCAGAAGACCCATCTTACATGCAAAGACAAACTTAGGCTTAAAATAAAGGGATGGAGGAAAATTTACCAAGCAAATAGAAATCAAAAAAAGAGCAGGGGTTGCAATCCTAGTTTCTGACAAAATAGACTTTAAACCAACAAAGATCAAAACAGAAAAGAAGGTCATTACCTAATGGTAAAGGGAACAATTCAACAAGAAGAGCTAACTATTATAAATATATATGCACCCAATACAGGAGCACCCAGATGCATGAAACAAGTTCTTAGAGATTTACAAAGAGACTTAGACTCCCACACAATACTAGTGGGAGACTTTAACACCCCACTGTCAGTATTAGATCAACAAGACAGAAAATTAACAAGGATATTCAGGACTTGAACTCAGCTCTGGATCAAGTGGACCTAGCAGACATCTACAGAACTCTCTATCCCAAATCAAAGAATATACAATCTTCTCAGTGCCACATGACACTTATTCTAAAACTGACCACATAATTGGAAGTAAAACACTCCTCAGCAAATGCAAAAGAACTGAAATCATAACAAACAGTCTCTCCGATCACAGTGCAATCAAATTAGAACTCAGGATTAAGAATTCACTCAAAACTATACACTTTTATGGAAATTAAACAACCTGCTCCTGAATGACTCCTGGTTAAAAAATCAAATTAAAGCAGAATCAAGAAGTTCTTTGAAACCAATGAAAATAAAGAGACAGTGTACCAGAATCTCTGGAGCATAACTAAAGCAGTGTTAAGAGGGAAATTCATAGCAATAATTGTCCACATCAGAAAGCTAGAAAGATCTCAAATCAACACCCTATCATCACAATAAAAAGAGCTAGAGAGGCAAGAGCAAACTAATACAAAAGCTAGCAGAAGAAAAGAAATAACTAAGATCAGAGAAGAATTGAAGGAGATAGAGACAGGAAAAACCCTCCAAAAAATCAATGAATCCAGGAGCTGTTTTTTTTGAAAAAAATAACAAAATAGACCACTAGCTAGACAAATTAAAGAAGAAGAGAGAGAAGAATCAAATAGACACAATACAAAATGATAAAGGGGATAGCACCACAGACCCCATGGAAATACAAACTACCATCAGAGAATACTATAAACACCTCTACACAGATAAACTAGAAAATCTAGAAGAAACGAATAAATTTCTGGACATATACAGCCTACCGAGACTAAACTGGGAGGAAGTTGAATCCTTGAATAGATCAATAACAAACTCTAAAATTAAGGCAGTAATTAATAGCCTACCAACCAAAAAAAGCCCAGGACCAGATGGATTCACAGATGAATTCTACCAGAAATACAAAAAGAAGCTGGTACCATTCCTTCTGAAACTATTCCAAACAATTGAAAAGTAGGGACTCCTCCCTAACTAATTTTATGAAGCCAGCATCATCCTGGTACCAAAACCAGGAAGAGACACAACAAAAAAAGGAAGACTTCAGGTCAATATCCCTGATGAACATCGATGCAAAAATCCTCAATAAAATACTGGCAAACTTAATCCAGCAGCACATCAAAAAACCTATCCACCATGATCAAGTTGACTTCATCCCTGGGATACAAGGCTGGTTCAACATACACAGATCAATAAATGTAATCCATCACATGAACAGAACCAAAGACAAAAACCACATCATTATTTCAATAGATGCAGAAAAAATTTAACATCCCTTTATGTTAAAAACTCTCAGTAAAATAGGTTGATGAAACATATCTCAAAATAATAAGAGCTATTTATGACAAACCCACAGCCAATATCATATTGAATGGGCAAGAGCTGGAAGCATTCCCTTTGAAAACTGTTACAAGACAAGGATGCCCTCTCTCACCACTCATATTGAACATGGTATTAGAAGTTCTGGTCAGGGCAATCAGGCAAGAGAAAGAAATAAATGGTATTCAAATAAGAAGAGAGGAAGTCAAGTTGTCTCTGTTTGCAGATGACATGATTTTATACTTAGAAAACCCCATCTTCTCAGCCAGAAAACTTCTTGAACTGATAAGCAACTTCAGCAAAGTCTCAGGATACAAAATCAATGTGTAAAAATCACAAGCATTCTTTTACACCAACAATAGGCAAGCAGAGAGCCAAATCATGAATGAACTCTCATGCACAATTGCTACAAAGAGAATAAAATACCTAGGAATACAGCTAACAAGGGATGTGAAGGACATTTTCAAGGAGAACTACAAACCACTACTCAAAGAAATAAGAGAGGACACAAACAAATGGAGAAACATTCCATCCTCATGGATAGGAATAATCAAAATCGTGAAAATGGCCATACTGCCCAAAGTAATTTACAAATTCAGTGTTATTCCCATCAAACTACCATTGACTTTCTTCACAGAATTAGAAAAAACTACTTTAAATTTCATATGCAACCACCTATTAAACAATGTGTGTGCCAATAAAATAATTCAGTACACTCAGCAAGTATACATTTCCACAAACATCAACTATCTAAAATATGTATATTGATGATCTAAGAAATACCAGTAAAGTATTAACTGTGCATCACATTGCTATTACATAATAAACCCATCCACAGTCTTATACTCTATCTCTGACCTTTTGCCATTCAGCATCCATGAGACAATTTCCCAAGTTAGGGTGCTAGTTAGAGTCTCTCAGGGTTTAATTCCAGGCTAAATGCATATATTTGCGTCTACTATTGTGGTGGGAAATTAGAAACTGGAAGAAAAATGTCAATTTTGTTTTACCAGGGATTGGAGATTCAACTCAGTTGCTCCCAGGGAGCAAACCAAAGTAGAAATGAGTACAGTGGCATGTCTCCAGCAAAATTTTTGAAAACAAATAAACAAAAACCCACAGAAAGAATATCTATATTTTATGAAAGATAATTAGTTGTGATCAGATGGTGGCCATTGGCAGTGATATGGACATTTTCCTGAAATTAATTAATTACTTCCATAAGCAGGGTTTTAAATCACCCTGTCTCTATTATTAGGCTCTCTTGTGCTTGAGGCCCCACAAAACAGGCATTTCTTTGACCTCTCATCTAATCTGGCCTTGTCTCTCAGATCCCTTGCAGGAAGCTGTATTTTAACATAGCATTCAACTTGTCTGTTATATCTTCTTTATTTAATAGCATAAGCTTTGGGTGTTGCTTCTAACTATGGGAGACCTCAGTCGTATTACGTAGGAAAGCCATCTGCCGAGATGGGAAGGGCTTTGGTCCAGGAATCAGAAAATTTTGGTTTCAGTCTCAGTTCTGCTATTCATAAACTATGTAACCTTGAAAAAGTCACTTTATGTCTCCGGACCTCAGATTGTTTCTTCACATTATCTTTCTACTCTCTTCCATTTTTAAAGGGCTGTAATTTTATTCCAAGGTTATTGTGAGTATAATCATAATAACAGCATTGCTAGCCACCTTTTTTTAGTGTTTACCACATGAAAGACATTGCACCAAGTGTTCTGTACATATTAACAAATTTACACTCTTCCCCCATATGCAGAGCCTTCTTCAGGGTCAATTTCTTTGACTAACCTATCCCAGGTCGCACTGCTGCTAAGTGTATGGCAAAGGAAGGATTCAAATCAGTGTCTGCTGAACTCAAAAGTGGTACTCAGGAGTGCTCTCTGGGAAGAATTGATAATGATGTTGAAAAGAAAGAAAGAGAGAATCTAGTTTCAATAATTGTTTTTTCTCTCCAGAGGGCTTATGAATTCCAACCTGAGGCCAGCAAAGAAGGAAATACTGGATAAATTAGTCATCAGTGAATCAACTGGTCAGTCATTAATGGGAATTCAGTGATTTGGACTATGTGCTAATGAGGTCAAGGCCAAGTTCAGAATGTGTGCTTAACCCACAGAGGCAGATGTGCTCAGCCCATTTCGAAATCATGGAGAATGTGGATTGGATGGTCTTTACCCTCCAGAGTGCTGGTAATCTAATATAGAAAATGGTACCCACTAATGGCCTAAAAATAAGCAAGTGTAAGTGGGTTCCATGCAAACTAGACCTAGACAACTCAGACAGATTAAAGGACAGGAATCTAAGTCCCTAAAATGAAATGTTTTTTTTTTAATTAAAAACAATGCCTTTATACAACTAGGAGAAAATAGAGCTGCAAATCTAAAATAGTATGGCCCTTCAGCAGTTGATGACACCCCAGTGCAAGGAGCTAAACATATTGGTATTAAGGGAGCTGAAAGCAATTACCAAGCCAGATTTTTTTTCTCTTTTTTGTTGGCCTTTAACATAAAAAATGCAAGGATAAACATGTAAATGTAGGAGACTGTTTTTCATTCACTGAGTTTGTAATTCTTTCCTGCATCTCTTTCCAGAATTAGCATGGGTTGTGTAATAGTTTTATTAACAATGTCCTTATTAGATTTGGGGGTGCCCCACCCAGAATGTGTAACTGGAGT
Organism: Homo sapiens; assembly: GCF_000001405.40. NCBI lineage: Eukaryota > Metazoa > Chordata > Mammalia > Primates > Hominidae > Homo > Homo sapiens. The sequence goes on from NC_000002.12 coordinate 199,161,475, forward strand.
CTGTGTATCTAAACCAATCTACACAAAGAAGTCAGAAAATTATGAATTTTTAAACGTCATTAATCAATATTTGAAAATGGCAAGGCATTCATTAGGGAACAATTAAGCTATGATGCAAGAAGATAATTAGTAAATTGGGGACAACATGGGTTCATTCATTACTTGAAAACTTAAATAATCTGTTTATCTGATTTCCTATAATAATGACGTCTTAAAAATCGACATTGAGATTTAAATAATCCCATATTCTTTCTGTGTGTGTCCATATGTGGTTTTCAGTTTTTCTAGGAATAAATGTGGTTGTTTTTGTCTCTTCTAACCGTCAACGTTCCCCCTACATTTTTTTCTTATCATATTAGGATGTTTCTCTCAGAAAATAGCAGTGTTTCATATAGTGTAAGAATATATTAAATTGTAGCTTCCACCATTTATTAGCATTATTGCTGTTGTTGCTGCTGCTGTATTTTAGATTATCAGTTAGCCTTTGCTTAAGGGGACTAAACCTCAGTCAGGTAGCTTATCTTGTGTGCTATTTGTTGACACATTTTGCTTAGCAATAAAGTACATGCTCTAAGGTATAGAAAGTTAAGATTTTAGAAATTCAAAAACCCAGGCCCTGTAAGAAAAGAGGCAGACAATCCAATAGAACAGTGGGCAAACACTTTAAACAGAAACTTCAAAGAAGCTATAAAAATGGTCAATTAAAATAGAAAAGCAGGATCAACTTCACAAGTTATTGGGGAAATCCAATGCCACTGCATTCTAACCAGCAGGGCCATTTGAGAAAAATAAACAGTTCTAAGTGTTTGTGAGGATATACAGAAACTAGAAGTCCTATATTCTGCTGGTAGTAGTGTAAATTGATACAACCACTTTGAAAATTGATAGTATCTACTAAGCTGAGCAGATATACATTACCCTACGACCTAGAATTCCAGAATTCTATTTATCTCTCTAGAATATAGACATATATTTAGCAAAAGACCTTCAGAGGAATGTTACTAGCAGCACTATTAGGTTGGTGCAAATTACTTTTAATGGCAAAAACCACAATTAATTTTGCACCAACCTAATATTTGTAATAGCTCCAAACTGGACAGCATTCAAATGTCCATTCAAATGTTATAGTATATGCATAAGATGGCATACTATACACCAAAGAAAATGAACAAACTAAGACCAAATACAACAAGAATAACTCTAACAAATGTAATATCGAACTAGTTACAAACAAGTATGTTCTACATGTTGCCTATTCTACAGGCAAAACTAATCCATGGTATTAGAAGTCATTGTACTGTATCCTCGAGAATGAGAGAGATGAAGGTGGCTTCTGCAGGTGCCAATAATATTCTCCTTCTTGATCCTGGTGCACTTACAGAGGTGTGCTTTCTTCATGAAAATTCATGCAGCTGTAAACTTTTGATTTGTATGTTTTCATATTATATATTCATATATTCATATATAATATGAAAATATAAATAAAATATAATTTTATTTATATTTCAACAAAATTATATGCTAAAAGAAGTCCAGGCTTCTGTGAATAAAAATCTTTCCTTTTAAAAATACAAAAATTTTGCAATTCTAAAGGTTTTTTCTTTGCCGTTCTGCAGTTTGCATTTCCTGGAACATGAGGATGCTGATGCTACTGATTGAGGAACCACATTTTGAAGGCCACTGTTTTCGAGTTAATCTATATTGGCTCTCATAGCCTTCTCATTTCTCTTAATCCATACATACCACTTTCCATTGCTAGTACGCCACTGGAACGATGCTCTACAGTGTCTCCATGAACCAATTTCAAGACCCCTGTAGTTCTTACTTATTGACCTTGCTGCAGTGTTTGATTATATTGAAACCTCTTTGAAAACTTTCCCCTAGTTCCTGTGTCCAGTCTTTTCTAGTTTTCCTCCTAATTTTCTGAACTCTTTCTGGCAGATTTGTTTTTTATTTACCACTAAATCTTAGTATTGTCTGATGCTTTGTTCTAAACTACTGTTCTCTTCTTTCTGGTGACCTCATCCTCTGCCTTGATATTAATTATTACCTGTATGCTGATGACTCCCGAATTTGAACCTTCAGCCTACACTCTTCTCTGAGCCCTGTCCCCATACACATAATGTCTTCTGAACATTTCTTCTTAAATGTACCTCACACACCTCAAGGTCTTCATCTTCTTCCACAAAAATCTGTTCATCTTATACGCACTTTCTCATGGTTATCTGCCCAGTTACTAAGATTCTTGCATATCATCCTAGTCTCCTCAATCTACCTCACCCACATGCCAGCGTGTTTTGCAATTCTATTTGCTAAATAGCATTCCCACTTTCCATATCACTGCCATAATTCATCCTCTCCTCTTGCCTTGCCTAGGCCATGGCAGTAGTTTTCTCCATCATCTCACTCCCACAGCCTACCCTTCTGCAGTTCTCTTCACACTGTTGCTACTCAACTCTTCTAAAAGCAGAATATGATCATCTTAATGCTTTGCTTGAAATACAATGAGCTGTTCTTAGCTACAGAGTAAAATCCAAACTCTAGCATCTGGCTCCAGTTCACTATTGCATTTCCATTTTAGGGAACTGCGAAGCTTCTCAAGCATCAAATTTCACATGAATGAAGGGGAGTAGGATCTTGTTAAAATGCAAATCCTGGATCTGGCTCATAAGCCTAGGGTGGGACCCGAAATTCTGCATTTCAGTAAGCTCCCAAATGATATTGATGCTACTGGTGAGCTACTGCAGATCACACCTGGAATAACAAAGCCCTACATGACCTCTTCACTACAGCTACAATGATTTACTTACAGCTTCCCAAATGTAACATGCGGCTTCACAGTCTCTATGCTTTATACCTCTTGTCCTCTTTGCTTGCAATACTTTTTCTCCCTTGTCTAGCTACCTAATGCAATACCACCCTTCAAGAGACAACTAAAAGAGGACCTCTTCAGAAAGGTTGTCTCCTTTTTCTCCAGGATGATTGAATGCCTACCTCTTTGTCTTTGTATCAAACAACATGACACTAAATTTAGGCAATCAGAGTTACATTCCAGGCCCTATGCCTCAGGGGATCCTGTGCTTTGTAAAAGTAAGTCTGCCTTCTTTGAGATTTTCTAAATTACCTTCCAGGACCTGGGATGAGCTAGGGCCAGCAATACCCTTTGGGTGCAAAGTCTCAAGCCTGAAGTTGAATGTGTGTGTGCCCTGGTCCCCATTGTTTTTCTTAAGGGCACTGTCTCATCCACTATCCCATGGAGAGGATAGACCACATGCCCTGAGGAATTCTGTGGGACCCCGTGGCTGAGTTCTGTTTGCAGGAGGGTGGCCTACTGAACAAATTGTTCTTACTCACCAGTGCAATATTTTTTTCCACAGGATAGCATGAGCTCTCGCAACCACATGTTACTGACATGCTGATTGGAGATGACTGTCACTCAGGATCCAGGACAAGTTCAGGTCTCTGAGATTCTGACTGTCCACCACCAACCCTTGCACTAGAGCCCTCTGTGTGGACTCTTCTTTCTGTTCTCACTTATCTCTCTTCTAACCGTGCTGCTGCCTATAGTCCATACCACCTGAAGGTGGTAGAGATGGCAGCAGGAATCCTTTATTCAATGTGCCCTCCTCCCCCAACTCCTGGACCCAAGGAGGTCACTCCATCTCCAAATTTTCATAACCTGTGTCAGATACTTCTGCAAGAGTGGCTGAACCTATCTCCTCTGAGGGCTTTCATCATTTTGCAGAAGAAAGTTAACAAGTTCTTCTCATTGACGTCCTCTCTTGCTTCCAATCAATGTGTTGATATCACAGTCTTCTGAGTCCTCTTAAGCATGCTGAATAAGGAACATGAGGAATGGGCATCCCTTGCCCTAACAGGATCACTCTTCTCATTCTGCCAGTGGGCTGTTGCTCCTCTTTGCCTCACTAGTAAAGATGTACAGAGGGCATAGATGTAATCAACATTGAAGAGAAAGCATATTCTAAAAATGCAGTGATTGTAGCCTAAAGAGAACATATGTTTGGAAGATGTGTTGTTCTGTTTATACTATGACATTCAGAGCAGTAAAATTTACATGATCAGAAGATGAATTATCATTCACATTTTCCTGCAAATTGTGGGTAAAACTTAAATTTGTGGTCATCATCTGTGAATCACAGTAATAACTTTTGGGAAGTCAGTCTTCACAAGTGGCCTGAAAGTTGATACAGCATCCTGAGTCCTACTGAAGGTATCATTAAATAATTGATATTAGGGACCTACAGAGGACAAAAGATCTATTATATTTTATTTTAATACAAAAAGTTCCCTAAGAGCCATGGCATTGTGAGTAATAACAATGTAGCAATCTTTTCCTCATGGTGAGAATATCAAATTCTCCGGAAATGGCACATTGGACAATAAAGAACATGAGGCAATGGTGCCTGGCCACTACAAAGAATCCTCAAGTGTACTGATTAGACCAAAAACAAATATCTAAGTACTTCTCTACCCAATATTCTAAGTTTTCATCAGTAAGTCAATATACCTTATCTGGGCCTGAGATTTTATAATATACTTTTAAATCAAATTGCTTATGTAGACTGGTCTCTAAACAAATATATCCCTGGAGGCCTGCACATCCTGGAATGATCCTAACCAGTGGTATCCTGTGCATGATCTCTGGTATAGTACCTGCCACGCTGCCCTGTAAAAGCTTATCTGCCCACCCCTCTCTCCCAGCAGTGAATTATGAGTGCTCGAAAGGCAGTGGCTGTTCTTTCATTTCTATAACTCCAGAACCTAGCACAGTGTCTAGAGCATGGGAAGTTAAATAGAACTTGTGCTTTACAGCAAAATAAGTATGTCCAGCACTTGTTTAACAGAGTGATGTTGATCCACAGTAACTCAAATTAAGTTAACATTCTCATCCCCACTGGTTCATTCGCTAAGAACAGGTTTGCAAGCCCTAGTGTACTTAGAACCTTATTGAGACCTGGGCTACCACGAAGTATAGCTAAGAAGTAGAGAGGATAAATCATCTTTTCTTTTTACTGATTTTTACAAACACATTTATTCACCTAACTTCACATTCTATGCAACGAAGTTTCAGAAGTTGTAACTTTACAAAGGTAAAAAAGAGAGGCAGTGACATTGCAAGAAAACTAGGGATGAAAAGGACATTTCACAGTTTGTTAATATGTGAATACTGGCACCCCCTTTTTGACTGCCAAAGAGTCTTGTCAGAAGTAAAATGTGGTGGCTCAGGCAAGATACACAAAAAAACACAAGAAGCCCATTGATTATTTTTGTTATAAAATACACTGTTGATTTCCGTGTACCTTTTTAAAAGAGATTTTTAAACACTTCTTTTCCTATAAAAATTTACTTTGGTTCCTCTGATGCACAAGGAAGCAGCCACTAAAAATGAGAGCTGATTCCAACAGAAACTTCACAGTTGTGTTTAAAGTTGGAAGAATTCGTAGCTTAGCAAAAACTCAAGAAGAGAAAATATATGGAAGTGTGCTGGCCTTTTGTCCTTGGTGACTGTCCACATGTTTAATTTTTCTGAGTTGATGTTCCTGGCAAATTTGATTTAGTGATTTTATGTACGCTTACCAGCTAAAGCAATACATATTTTAAGTCAACTGTCAGTAACCTGCACAGAGTGAAGTGCATAAATGAAAAGGAATTAATGAAATGCTACTATATATATATTACTGCCCCAAAACAATGCCATTTCACAAGGTATTTGCTTTGTTTTGCATGCAGAATAGCACATTACTCTCAATAATCATTTATGCATTTGCTCTTTAAGTACTTCTGACCAAGGAGGTATAAAACAAGAGCTGGCAAAAGGGAAAGGATCTTCTCTATTGACTAGATAAGCAATTTATGTATTTAAGAGCCAACATAGAAATATGCCTGAGAATGGTGACTGCCCTCAGTTTGATTAAAGCTTCCTGAATTCACTATTGGGTCAACAGGGATGTATCTCACACACACACACACACACACACACACACACACACAATCTCCCACCTCTATTTTTTTCAGAATAATTGCCTGAAGCAGAGGTGTTCCAGCTGCATTCTAGGGAGCTCCCTGATTCTTCCAAGCTGTCTTGGGGTCCAGGGAAAGGAGAAACCTTGGAGCTTAACCAAGGATTCAGCAGGCTTCTGAGACTCAAGCTTCCTGTGTGCCCACCACTCCCCACCCGTGTGCTAACCCTGTCCCCAGAACCCTCTCTGCAAGCTGTAACTAGAATGATCTGCTTTTTCTTATTTATGTGTTAGGGTTCCAAGTAAGATTTCTTTCATAAAGATGTTTTTGCTTCTACATACAAAATTTTAAAACTACTGCAGTTTGACTGGAATATTAGTTATCCATTTATTTAATAAGCATTATTAAACACCAACTATATGCAAATAACTCTACTAATTACTGGGGATTCAGAAAGGGAGAATAGTGGGGAGGGGCAAAGGTGGGGAGTGGGAAGAATATTATAAACACAGGGGACAGTACATGGTAAGATCTTGTAGCAGGGGGAGACAATGGTGTAAGTCACAGTAAATATTTTTTACATAATATTATTTGACTGTTCAAGTGCTTGTTATGAAGAATAATGCCAAACGCTGACCAATGCTTAAAGTGAATGAAGACTGTGAACCAGTAGATCTGGCAATGCAGAAACTCCAATGACCTTAATTCTGTTACAGAAATCTCAGTAGGGAGATATGAATAATATTAACAAGAAATGATTAACTTGGTGATATGGTTTGGCTATGTCCCCACCCAAATCTCATCTTGAATTGTAGCTCCCATAATTCCCACGAGTTGTGGGAGGGACCTGGTGGGAGATAATTGAATCACAGGGGCAGTTTCTCCCATGCTATTCTCGTGGTAGTGAATAAGTCTCACGAGATCTGATGGTTTTATAAGAGGAAGCCCCTTTTGCTTGGTTCTCATTCTCTCTCGTCTGCTGCCACGTAAGATGTGTCTTTGTCTTCCACCGTGATTGTGAGGCCTCCCCAGCTGCATGGAACTGTGTGTCCATTCAACCTCTTTTTCTTTATAAATTACCCAGTCTCAGGTGTGTCTTTATCAGCAGCGTGAAAATGGACTAATACATTTGGGGAGTGAGGTAATAGCAGTACAGGCAGATTCAAAGGAAATTTAAAAGATAGAATTGCTATGATAAGGAATTTGAGTGAAGAGATGATAATGACCTTGCAGATTCTAACGTGGTGACTAGAATGATAGAACAAACTTAGAGAGAATGAGATCAACGTCGTTTTGGACATATGAGACTTGAGGTACTTGAAATTCCAAGTTCAAAAGCCTAGCAGCCTTCTGGAAATACAACCCAACAAATGCAGCAGGGCTCAAAACAGATGGAGGGTATTTGGAGACACTTAAATTTCATGAAGTCATATCAGGCACTCAATAATTAGAGATATTTTACATTAAAGATTAAAATGCAATTTTAAATATCTACCAGGTAAATTCTAAGTTCCCTTTTATAAATTCTTTCCCCACAATAGGAAAGACACAACATATGAGAAAAAAAAAAGACAGGAAGAGTATTTAAAGAAAATTGTAAAAGAATAATGACAAAGGCATAGACTCAAAGAAAAGAGCCACTGGTATTAAGAAAACTACACAGATGAAATGGCTAGGAAATAAAAGGACAAGTCAAGGACATTTGGTGGGGGAAGAAATGTGGAAAATAATGAAAAAGAATCAAAGGGGAAAATAAGAAAGGAAATGGAAAAAATTGGGGAAAATATGAAAACTTGAAAGTTCCATGGACATAAAAACATGTTCTTTTCATTGCATAATACCTAAAAAACAGACTGATGAGGAGGACTATAGCTGCCCTTTAAACCTTTCAGAAAAATCATTTAACTTTTCTTGAACATAAGAGAGCTAAGTTCTCAAGGTAACAAACCAGCCTCAAAGTTTAAAAAAGACAAATGCCTCTGAGGAGAGTCAAACATAAACCCTGGCCAGGTGGAGTAGAGTATGGGAGGAAAATAGGATGCCACACAAAGGGATAAAAAGATTTTAGCTTAAAGTTTATGATGAATTGCTAACAGCTCAGTGTGAACTTACCTGAAAGTATAGGAGCCCCTGGGAGCCACAGACATAAAGAGTGTTTGTACAACTTCACAGGCTCTTCTCCACCACCATCACCACGTACTAACTAATGAGAGAGTATAATGCCAAAGGGGCAGGGCGAGAGACCACAGAAAACTTCCCTTGGCCCATGTGCTTGGGAGACTGGAGGGGTAGCCTCCACTGCCGGAGAGGCAAAAAGCCCCATCTAGAGCCTTTCCCGCTATCTCTCTTACCGAATAAATGCCTTAAGAGCATGGGGAAAAGGCAGGGCACAGGTAGGGCCCAACTGCAGCTAGGAGAAGCAGACAGGAAAACAAAACCAAAAACTCGTACCACTGGGAAAGGAGGAAGGAACCATCCTGGGCTCTGACCATTCAAGATCTCTTACGACTGAGGGAAAGGCAGAAAACTTTTTCCCCACAAGATCTACCAAAGGTATAAGGCTATCATACGGATAGCAGGGAGTATGGATATCATATGAAAGAGGGGCAGAATCATTTGGAAAATTCCACTCTTGAGACCCAGGTTCACAGGGCCTGCCTAAGACTAGGAATAAAAAAAGGACAACAGAAAAGGCCCTTTTATCTCAGCCCCAACACCAGGCTAGCTAGCATTAAGTATCAAGTAAAAGTAGTCTACCACTGAAGGAGGGGCAAGGACAGAGAGAAAACCTACTCAAAGTTATGGGCTCCTAGGGAAGACCAAAAGTTGAGGCAGAACATGATCATTGAGAAATATCCGAAAGATTCAACCCCCAACTTAACTACAAGATAGCCCTGGAGGAAATTTGAAGACTGTAGTACAATGAAGGTAACCACAGCAAAACAAACAAACCCATTTCAACTTCTGCCTACACTGACTTAACGTACCCCACCACAACAATAGAGAGGCATGCCCATTACTCAGGCATAAATACAATTTACCAGCGTCTCTATTGTCCTAAACACAATGCCTGGTTTCAATCAACCAAAAATTATAAGACTATAAAAAAAAAAAACCCACTGTTAAGAAGCAAAGGAGATGTGATCCAATTGTTGAAACCGTCAGACAAAGAATTTAAAATAAATTACTGTATTAAAAGTTCTAGTGGAAAATGTGGACAACATGCATGGACAAATGGGAAATTTTAGCAGAGTGATGAAAACTAATAGAAAGACCCAAATAGAAATGCAACAGTGAAAAATCATAAGTGATGAAGAATTTCTTTGACAGGTTCCTCAGTAGATTCAACATTGCCAAGCCCATGGAGGAAAAACAATTAATGAACTTAAAGATGAGTAAATACAAGTCACCCTATCTGAAATATTAAAGGAAAAAATAATTAAAAATACAGAGCAGAACATCTAAGAGCTATGAAACAATATCAAGAGGTCTAACACATGTGTAATTGGAATCCCAGTGTACACAAGAAAGAATAGGGAATGAGAAATATTTGAAGAAATAATGGCCAACATTTTCCAAAAATAATAAAAAAAATCAGACTACAGATTCAAGAAACTCAGAGAACACTACGAATCACCATCCTACCACCACTTAAAAACCCTTCACTTGGACACATCATATTCAAACCACTGAAAAACAAAGATAAAGTGAAAATCTTGAAGGCAGTCAGAAAAAAACACGTATTACATGAGGAAGAATGAAGATAATAATTACAGCATATTTCCTTTCTGAAACTATGCAAACCTCATAGGATGAGTTGGAAAGTATTCTCAGCTCTTGTATTTTATGGAAAAGTTGGTAGAAGAATAATATTACTTCTTTAAATACTTGACAGTGACACTGTCTGGAATGGGAGAATTCTTTGTTGAAAAAGTTTTACTATGAACTTAATTTTAAAAATAGATATAGGACTATTCATGTTGTTTTTCTTGAGAAAATTCTTAAGCCTTCAGAATTTGTATCTGTACACAATGGACTCTGAGGACGGGGGAAAGGGTGAGAAGTGGGTGAGGGATAAGAGACTACAAATTGGGTTCAGCCTGCACTACTCAGGTGATGGGTACACCAAAATCTCACAAATTGCTAAATACTGCCTATTCCCCAAAAACCTATGGAAATTAAAAAAAAAAAAAATTTAAAGAAGATTAATTAAAAAAGAAATTTGTAAAGAAATTTGTTCATTTCATCCAATTTGTCAAATGTATTGCCATAAAATTTCTTATAAAATTTATTTATTATCCTTTTACTGACTTCATGGTCTGCAGTTCTCTCTTTCATTTCTATATTGTTGGTTTGCCATCTTTTCTCTTTTTCTTTGGTCAGTCTGGTTAAAGACATCAATTTTATTAACCTCCTCAAAAACCAAAGTTTTAGATTAGTTGAACCAGGTTGTATTCAAAGGGAGGGTTAGAAATAGCTTACTCTGATGAGGGAACAATGAAGCTGAAACTTGAGAGAGGCAATGAGTGCAAGTGTCCTAAAATGAATAAGAAATTGGGGAGTTCTAGGAACAATTATTTAAAAAAAGAAAGAAAGCAACAACAACAACAATGTGGGTGGAGTGTGGAAACAAGAGAGGAGACTGTTGCAATACGAGGCCTGGTAGGAAAACAGAGGCTATACGACACTGTTATATATGGTAAGGATTATACGGTAAGGATTTACATAGGAATTTATACTGAAAGCAAATGGAAGACACTAATGGATATTACATAGCAGAGTAACATGATAAGTTCATTTTGAAAAGCTCAGTCTGGCAGTAGGATGGGAAATGAACTGAAGTTGAGGAGTAGAAATGGAGAAGAATAATTAGATGCTTGTTACAGCAATTTAGGTGGGAGTAGGAATTTAGACTGGAAGGTGGCAAAGAAATTGAAAGATTCAAATGCTGATAAGTAATGATTGATTTATGATTGACTTATTGATTTATTTTTTATTTGTGGTAATAAATAGGACATTTATTTAGCACTTATTACATACCAGGAATTATTCTAAGCATTTTATGTGAGTTAATACAAGACCATGCAACTAGTACTAGAAAGAGCAGGGATGAAAGCCAGGCATAGCCTATGCTCTAAGTTCTTGCTCTTACTGCCTCTCAGATGTTAGGATTAAAGAAAGGAGAAAATATAAGGATGAATCTCTGGTTTCTGTGTTAAGTGACTGGGTACTAATTACTGAAATAAGAAACATGAGAGAAAAACCATGTTTTGGAAAGAAATAATAAACTCAGCTTTAGATAAAACCAAGAGAGACATTTTATCACAATCTTAATAAATCCAAATCTGCAAGGACAAATGAGGAACTCCTCTTTATGGTGTCATGGTAAAGAGTTCATTCATATACCCTGGAAATTATTAAAGGACATTTAGTTAAATATAAACATAAACACTGTCATGTCCCACATAATGACATTTCAGTCAACAGTGGACCACACATACTATGGTGGTCCCTGTAAAGTTATTATGGAGCTGAAAAATTTCTATCACCTAATGATTTCTTAGCCATGGTAACCTTGTAGCCCAGGGCATTACTCACATGTTTGTGGTGATGCTGGTGTAAACAAACCTACTGTGCTGCCAGTCATATTAAAGTATAGCACATACAATTATGTATAGTACATAATACTTGATAATGGTAATAAATGACTATGTTACTAGTTTATGTATTTACTATACTATTAATCTTTATTTTAGAGTACACTCCACTAGTACAACCACTTTGGAAAACAGTATGGAAATTCCTTAAACAACTACAAGTAGAATTACCGTTCCATTCAGCAATCCCACTGGGCACCTACCCAAAGGAAAAGTCATCATATGAAAAAGAGATATGCACACACATGTTTATAGCATCACAATTCACAGTTGTAAGGATATGGAACCAGCCTAAGTGCCCATCAACCAAGGAGTGGATAAAGAAAATGTAGTACATATTCACTATGGAATACTATTTGGCCATAAAAAGGAATGAAAAGTCTTTTGCAGCAACTTGAATGGAGCTGGAAGCCATTATTCTAAGTAACTCAGGAATGGAAAACCAAATACCCTATGTTCTCACTTAAAAGTGGGAGCTAAATTATGAGGATGCAAAGACATAAGAATGATGTGGACTTTGGGAACTGAGGAGAATAACAGTCAGAGGGGAGTGAGGGATAAAAGACTACATATTGCATGTATACTGCTCAGGTGAATGTTTGCACCAAAATCTCAGAAATCGCCACTAAAGAACTTATCCATGTAACCAAAACCACCTGTACCCCAAAGCTATTGAAATAAAAATAATTTTTTTAAAAACAATTATACGCCTAATACTTTAAAAAAAAAAGTTAACTGTGAAACAGCCTCAAGAAGGTCTTTCAGGAGGCATTCCAGAAGAAATCATTGCTATCACAGGAGATGACAGCTGCATGCGGGTTATTCCCCCTGAAATGGGGATGCAGAGGTAGAAGACAGTGATATCAATGATTTTGACCCTCTGTAGGCCTAGGCTGATGTTGTACGTGTGTGTGTGTGTGTGTGTGTGTGTGTGTGTGTAACAAAAAAAAAATTTTTAAGTGAAAAATAAAAATAGAAATAGAAAAATAAAAAAACTTACAGAATATGGATATAAAGAAAGAAAATATTTTGGTATAGCTATACAATGTGTTTGTGTTTTAAACTAAGTGTTATTATAAAAATGTCAAAAAGTTTAAAAAATTAAACATAAAGTGAAAAAGTTATAGTAAGCTATTTATTACTGAAGAAAAACAATTCTATAAACTTAGAGTAGCCTAAGTGTACAGTGTTTATAAGTCTCCAGTAGTGCACAATAATGTCCCAGGCCTTCACATTCATTCACCACTCACTCACTGACTCACCCAGATCAACTTCCAGTCCTGCAAGCTCCATTCATGATAAGTACCCTACAGACGTACCATTTTTTACCTTTTAAACCATATTTTTATTGTACCTTTTTATGTTTAACAATGTTTAGATGTGCAAATACTTGCCATTGTGTTACAATTGCCTAGAATATTCAGTACATCAACAGATTTGTAGCTGGGAGCAATAGGCCACATCACATAACCTAGGTGTTTAGTAAGCTACACCATCTAGGTTTGTGTAAGTACACTCTATGATGTTCACACAATAACTAAATCACCTAATGACACATTTCTCAGAACATATTCCCATCATGAAGTGATATAAGGTTGTAATTAATTATAGATATAGATGTAGATAAATTACCAAGGGTAAACAAAAAAAATGCTTCTTTGGAGTTTCAGTTTTGGTAGCTTATATAGCACTAGTCTTCTTGCAATTATAAACTCTGGACAAAATATTTTAAAAATTTTGAAGGTAATGGGGAGTGACCAAAAGAAGGTAGAAATTGAAGGGGGTATGACCTTTGAAAAACTGGAACCGTATTAAATGAAATATATGCTTAATAAGCTTATCATCTGAGTTAACTCCTCAGGTCCACACTGCACATGATGTCTAGAAATGAAGCAGAAAGGTACAGTCTTTTAGGTATAAAGAGTCTGAAAAAGGTGAATGGTACTTCCGGAAAAGTTATAAAACTGGGGAGACATTTTAGAAAGAAAGAATAAAAATGGAAAGCTTTAAAATTGCAAATAAATTATCTCCAAACCCTGAAAGATGCCTAAGCTGTGCATAGTTGAAACGCCAAAGAGTTCAAGGGTAAATAATATTTGTAAGTCTGAAAGGTGTAACCAGAATTTTCAGCTGCTGCCCAACACAGGAAAGAGAGAGATTTGGATGCACATCCTTCTAAGTCAGAGGGTCTTGGTAAACACCCTGGTCTTTCTATTGAAATCCCAGAAGAGCCATGTCTCAGAGTAAAAACTACTTTCCCAAAACTAAGGAATTCCCTGTAGGACTAAGGAAAATACAAAAAATAGACCTACCCTCGAAAAGAGAAACCAAGCCTCCACTTACTGAAATAAACTGCCAGTAATTTAGCTGCATACTAGAATATAAATTAACACTCTTCAGAGAAAAATAAAAAATCCAACATCTCAACAATGCATTGCCCAGAGTATCCAAAATATAACAAAAATCACTATATAGGAAAATATGACCTGTAGTCAAGGGAAAAGTCAGTTAAAAGAAATTTACCAAAAAATGGACAAGGAAGTTAAAATAACTATGATTAATATGTTACAGTGTATAGGGCATATAATATAATGGGTGAAACTACGGGGAATTTTAGAAGCAATTTGGAAAAGTTACAAAAAATATAAATAACTGAAAAAATATAGTATATTAAATAAAATAATATTATATGAGATTAATAGCTGATTGAACAGAATGAAATAATACATCAGTAAACTTAAAGACAAAATAAAGCACAGAAAGAAAAGAAAATTAGAAAAAGTTGAACAATGCATCAAAAGCATCTAATATATGTGAGTTTCAAGAAGTCTAATATATGTGATTGCAGCCAGAAAAAAAGATGTGAGAGAGAGGATGGGGTAGAAAAAAATGAAGAACTAATAGCTAATTTTTTTTCCAACTTTGATTCATGAAAAATGTCAGCACACAGATCCAAATAACTGAAAAATTTTCAAGCAAGATAAACCTCTAGCTTGACTCTCTGATAGTGGGGGGAAAAGAAATAAAATAAATATTAGCAATAAAAAAAGATCTACCAGATACTAAAAAGATAAAAAAAAATTCTAAACAACATTATGCTAATAAATTCACCAATCTAGATAAAATGAATTTTTAAAAAACAAAAATTTGTGTTCAAAAGTGCTAAAAGAAAATAGAAAATCTGAATAGTCCTCTATCTAATATAAAAATGAAACTCATGATTAAAAACCTTCCTATAAAGAACACTAGGAGCCCAAATGACCTCGCTAGTGAATTATATCAATGAGCTAAGGAAAAATTATACCAATGTTACACAAACTCTTTAAGAAATGAAAGAAAGTGGGACCAGTTCTCAACTAATTTTATGAGGCCATCATAATCTTTACAACAAAACCAGACAAGAATCATTGCTAAAAAATAAATTACAGAACAATATTTCCCATAAATGTTGATGCAAAAAATAGTTTTATATATAATACAATTTTTATTTTATATATACTTGATTTACTAATATTATTAGTAAATATTAGTAATATTAGTAAATATATATTAGAGATATATAAATTAGTATATATACTAATATAAATAGATACATATTTATTTATACATATTCTAATATAGAGAGATACATATCTATTTATATTACTATATATTACTATTTATATGATATTACTATTTATTACTATTTCTATTATTATTTATAGGTATATGTATATATAGTCATATAGTATATATAGTATTTATGGGTATATGTATATATAGTAATATATATCTATATTACTATATTATCTTACTATATATCTATATTACTATATATACACATACTAATATATATTTATATTACTATATATTACTATTTATAGTATTACTATTTATACTATATTACTATTTATTACTATATACATTACTACATATACTTATATATATGTATATCTATATCCCTCCCAGTGGGATTTAATCCAAGAATGTAAGGTTGGTTCAATATTCAAAAAAATCAACAAACATCACAATCGATGTGGAAAAGCTAATGCAAATTTTGACGCCCATTCATGATTAAAACTCTCAGCAAACTAGTAACAAAAGGAAATTTCCTCAGTCTAATAAAGGAAAAGGCATCTATGAAAAACCTATAACTAACATTATACTTAATGATTAAAGACTGAATGCTTTCCCCCTTCTAAGATTAGTAAAAAAGTAAGCATGTTCACTCTCACTACTTTTATTAAACATTGTACCAGAGGCCCTTGGCAATGCAATAAGGTAAGAGAAAGAAATAAAATGCATAAACACTGGAGTGGGAGAAATAAAATTGTCCTTATCTGCAGACAATATAATTGTATACATAAAAATTGCTAAGTAATCCAAAATAATCTATTAAATCTAGTAAGAAAATTTAGTATATTTGCAGGATACAAGGACAATAAAAACCATTGTGTTTCTATATACTAGCAACAACAAATGAAAAATGAAATTCAAAAGCACCATTTATAATAGTATCAAAAAACCATAAAATACCCAGGAATAAGTTGAATATAAGCTGTCCAACACATTTACTCTGAATACTACCAAATAATGTTGAGAGAAATTAATGAAGACTCAAATAAATAGTGAGATGACCCATGTTTATTGATTGAGATAAATAGTATTAAGATGTAACTTCTCACTAAATTGATCTTTAGATTCACGGAATCTCAATAAAAATCCTAACAAGTTTTTGTAGAAACTGACAAGCTAATTTTCAAAATTTATGTAAAAATGAAAAGAGCTAAGATAGCCAAAACATCTTGAAAAAGTAGAATAAAGCTGGAAGACTTACACTATCTAATTTCAAGATTTACTACTATAAAGCTACAATATCAAATAAGTGTTGCAATGACATAAGAATAGACAAATATATAAGAGTCTTGAAAGAGACCCACCATCTTATGGTGAACTGGTTTTTACGTATGTGCCAAAACAATATATTTGGTGACCAAAGGAAAGTCTTTTCAACAAATGGGACTGAAACAATCGTGTATCCATATAGGAAGAAAATTGATCCTTGACTCCTACTTCAAACTCTACATACAAATTATTTTGAGATGAATCATTGACATAACATTAAAGATAAAACTATAATGCTTTTATAAAAGAAATTGCCTTATATTTTCACAAACATAAGGTAGACAAAAAATTTTCACACAAGACAGATAGAATGGACCAGAGGAAATTTTGAAAAATGAGAATTCATCAAAATTCAAAATTGCTCATCAAAAGACATTACTAGTAAAATGAATAAGCTAGCCACAGACAGGGTAAAAGAATTCATAATACCTACGTATTATGAATTTAGGAAATTTCATAATATGAATTTAGGATTTCATAATTTCATAATTCATAATTTCATAATTTATGAATTCATAACATGAATTCATAATTTCATAATTATGAATTTAGGATTGTATTTAGGAAATTTCTAAAACTTGTACAGCCCAGTAATAAAACAGGCAACCAAATAAAAACAATAGGGAAAGACACTTCATAAAAGATATAAAAATAACCAACATGTACATAAAATGTTTTCAACATTATCAGTTGCCAGGAAAATGCAAATTAAAACTACAATAAACTATTCCTGCCTATCTGCCACAATGGCTAAAATTAAAAGATTTGTCTACCAAGTATTAGTTATGCTGTAAAACAACTGATACTCTAATATGTTGCAGGTAGAAGTGAAAAATGGTATCATCACTTTGGAAAAGTATTTGGTAATTTTTTATAAAGGTAAACATATACAACCCAGTGACCCAACCATTCTACTTCCAGCTATTTACCCAAAAGAAATGAAAACTTATTTCTACAAAAGTTTGTACAGAAATGTTTATAGCAACTTTATTTATAACAGGCCAAACTGGAAATAGCCAAAATGCCTATGAACAAGCAAAAGGTTAGCAAACTGATACACTCATGCCATAAGAAGAAACAAATCACTGACACAGGCAACATGGATGAATCTCAAAATCGTGTTGAAAGAAAAAAGCCCAACAAAAAGTATGATTCCATTTACCTAAAGTTTCAGAAGAGGCAAAACAAAAATCTGATGATAGAAATCAGAATAGTAGTTGCGTGGGGTGATTGGAAGGGAGAATGGAGAGTGATGGGAAACGAATCACAAGGGAGCTTGCTGGGGTGATGGAAATGATCTAAATCTTAATTGAGTTGTTATTATATGGGTACACATTCATCAGTCTTTGAACTCTATCATTAGTATCTGTCAGGCCTCTGAGCCCAAGCCAAGCCATCGCATCCCCTGTGACTTGCACCTATATGCCCAGATGGCCTGAAGTAACTGAAGAATCACAAAAGAAGTGAAAATGCCCTGCCCCGCCTTAACTGATGACATTCCACCTCAAAAGAAATGTAAATGGCTGGTCCTTGCCTTAAGTGATGACATTACCTTGTGAAAGTCTTTTTCCTGGCTCATGATGGCTCAAAAACACCCCCACTGAGCACCTTGCGACCCCCAACCCTGCCCACCAGAGAACAAATCCCCTTTGACTGTAATTTTTCTTTATCTGCCCAAATCTTATAAAACGGCCCCACCCCTATCTCCCTTCGATGACTGTCTTTTCGGACTCAGCCTGCCTGCCCCCCTGTGAAATAAACAGCCATGTTGCTCACACAAAGCCTGTTTGGTGGTCTCTTCACACGGATGCGAGTGAAATTTGGTGCTGTGACTCAGATCAGGGGACCTCCCTTGGGAGATCAATCCCCTGTCCTCCTGTTCTTTGCTCGGTAAGAAAGATCCACTTATGACCTCAGGTCCTCAGACCGACCAGCCCAAGAAACATCTCACCAATTTCAAATCCGGTAAGCGGCCTCTTTTTACTCTCTTCTCCAACCTCCTTCACTATCCCTCAACCTCTTTCTCCTTTCAATCTCGGCACCACACTTCAATCTCTCCCTTCTTTTAATTTCAATTCCTTTCATTTTCTGGTAGAGACAAAGGAGACACATTTTATCCGTAGACCCAAAACTCCGGCGCTGGTGATAGACTGGGAAGGCAGCCTTCCCTTGGTGTTTAATCATTGCAGGGACACCTCTCTGATTATTCACCCACGTTTCAGAGGTGTCAGACCACGCAGGGACGCCTGCCTTGGTCCTTCACCCTTAGCAGCAAGTCCCACTTTTCTGGGGGAGGGGCAAGTACCCCAACCCCTTCTCTCTGTGTCTCTACCCCTTTTCCACCTTTCTGGGGGGCAAGAAACCCCCAACCCCTTCTCCTTCACCCTTAGCGGCAAGTCCTGCTTTTCTAGGGGAGGGGCAAGTACCCTAACCCCATATATCTCTGTGCCCCGATCCCTTATTTCTGTGCCCCAACCTCTTATATCTCTGTGCCCCAATCCCTTATTTCTATGCCCCGACCTCGTATCTCTGTGCCCCGACCCCTTTCCCACTTTTCTGGAGGGTAAGAACCCCCAAACCCCTTCCCTCCATGTCTCTACTCTCTCTTTTCTCTGGGCTTGCCTCCTTCACTATGGGCAACCTTCCACCCTCCATTCCTCCTTCTCCCTTTGCCTGTGTTCTTAAGAACTTAAAACCTCTTCAACTCTCAAATGACCTAAAATCTAAGCATCTTATTTTCTTCTGCAATGCCACTTGACCCCAATACAAACTCGACAGTAGTTCCAAATAGCCAGAAAATGGCACTTTCAATTTTTCCATCCTGCAAGATCTAAATAATTCTTGTCATAAAATGGGCAAATGGTCTGAGGTGCCTGACGTCCAGGCATTCTTTTACACATTGGTCCCTCTCTAGTCTCTGTTCCCAATGCAACAGATCCCAAATCTTCCTTCTTTCCCTCCCACCTGTCCCCTCAGTCCCAACCCCAAGCATCGCTGAGTCTTTCTAATCTTCCTTTTCTACAGACCCATCTGACCTCTCCCCTCCTCCCCAGGCTGCTCCTCGCCAGGCCGAGCTAGGTCCCAATTCTTCCTCAGCCTCCGCTCCTCCACCCTATAATCCTTTTATCACCTCCCCTCCTCACACCTGGTCCGGCTTACAGTTTCATTCCATGACTAGCCCTCCCCCACCTGCCCAGCAATTTACTCTTAAAAAGGTGGCTGGAGCTAAAGGCATAGTCAAGGTTAATGCTCCTTTTTCTTTATCCCAAATCAGATAGCGTTTAGGCTCTTTTTCATCAAATATAAAAATCCAGCCCAGTTCATGACTCCTTTGGCAGCAACCCTGAGACACTTTACAGCCCTAGACCCTAAAAGGTCAAAAGGCCGTCTTATTCTCAAAATACATTTTATTACCCAATCTGCTCCCGACATTAAATAAAACTCCAAAAATTAAATTCTGGCCCTCAAACCCCACAACAAGATTTAATTAACCTCGCCTTCAAGGTATACAATAATAGAAAAAAGTTGCAATTCCTTGCCTCCACTGTGAGACAAACCCCAGCCACATCTCCAGCACACAAGAACTTCCAAATGTCTGAACCACAGCGGCCAGGCATTCCTCCAGAACCTCCTCCCCCAGGAGCTTGCTTCAGAAATCTGGCCACAAGGCCAAGGAATGCCTGCAGCCCAGGATTCCTCCTAAGCTGCGTCCCATCTTTGTGGGACCCCACTGGAAATTGGACTGTCCAACTCACCTGGCAGCCACTCCCAGAGTCCCTGGAACTCTGGCCCAAGGCTCTCTGACTGACTCCTTCCCAGATCTTCTCGGCTTAGCGGCTGAAGACTGACACTGCCTGATCGCCTCGGAAGCCCCCTAGACCATCACGGACGCCGAGCTTCAGGTAACTCTCACAGTGGAAGGTAAGCCCGTCCCCTTCTTAATCAATACGGAGGCTACCCACTCCACATTACCTTCTTTTCAAGGGCCTGTTTCCCTTGCCTCCATAACTGTTGTGGGTATTGACAGCCAGGCTTCTAAACCTCTTAAAACTCCCCAACTCTGGTGCCAACTTAGACAATACTCTTCTAAGCACTCCTTTTAATTATCCCCACCTGCCCAGTTCCCTTATTAGGCTGAGACACTTTAACTAAATTATCTGCTTCCCTGACTATTCCTGGATTACAGCTACATCTCATTGCTGCCCTTCTTCCCAATCCAAAGCCTCCTTTGCGTCCTCCTCTTGTATCCCCCCACCTTAACCCACAAGTATAAGATACCTCTACTCCCTCTTTGGTGACCGATCACGCACCCCTTACCATCTCATTAAAACCCAATCACCCTTACCCTGCTCAATGCCAATATCCCATCCCACAGCATGCTTTGAAAGGATTAAAGCCTGTTATCACTCGCCTGCTACAGCATGGCCTTTTAAAGCCTATAAACTCTCCTTACAATTCCCCCATTTTACCTGTCCTAAAACCAGACAAGCCTTACAAGTTCGTTTAGGATCTATGCCTTATCAACCAAATTGTTTTCCTAACCACCCCATGGTGCCAAACCCATATACTCTCCTATCCTCAATACCTCCCTCCACAATCCATTATTCTGTTCTGGATCTCAAACATGCTTTCTTTACTATTCCTTTGCACCCGTCATCCCAGCCTCTCTTCGCTTTCATTTGGACTGACCCTGACACCCATCAGGCTCAGCAAATTACCTGGGCTGTACTGCCGCAAAGCTTCACAGACAGCCCCCATTACTTCAGTCAAGCCCAAATTTCTTCCTCATCTGTTACCTATCTCATCATAACTCTCATAAAAACACACGTGCTCTCCCTGCCAATCGTGTCCGACTGATCTCTCAAACCCTAGCACCTTCTACAAAACAACATCTCCTTTCCTTCCTAGGCATGGTTATCGTGGTCAGAATTCTTACACACAAGAGCCAGTACCACACCCTGTAGCCTTTCTGTCCAAACAACTTGACCTTACTGTTTTAGCCTAGCCCTCATGTCTGCGTGCAGTGGCTGCCGCTACTTTAATACTTTTAGAGGCCCTCAAAATCACAAACTATGCTCAACTCACTCTTTACAGTTCTCATAACTTCCAAAATCTATTTTCTTCCTCATACCTGACGCATATACTTTCTGCTTCCCGGCTCCTTCAGCTATACTCACTGTTTGTTGAGTCTCCCACAATTACCGTTGTTCCTGGCCCGAACTTCAATCCAGCCTCCCACATTATTCTGGATACCACACCTGACCCTCATGATTGCATCTCTCTGATCCACCTGACGTTCACCCCATTTCCCCACATTTCCTTCTTCCCTGTTTCTCACCCTGATCACACTTGGTTTATTGATGGCAGTTCCACCAGGCCTAATTGCCACTCACCAGCAAAGGCAGGCTATGCTATAGTATCTTCCACATCTATCATTGAGGCTACCACTCTGCCCCCCTCCACTACCTCTCAGCAAGCCAAACTAGTTGCCTTAACTCAAGCCCTCACTCTTGCAAAAGGACTACGCGTCAATATCTATACTGATTCTAAATATGCCTTTCATATTCTGCACCACCATGCGGTCATATGGGCTGAAAGAGGTTTTCTCACTACACAAGGGTCCTCCATCATGAATGCCTCTTTAATAATAACTCTACTCAAGGCCGCTTTACTTCCAAAGGAAGCTGGGGTCATTCACTGTAAGGGGCATCAAAAGGCATCAGATCCCATTGCTCTAGGCAACGCTTGTGCTGATAAGGTGGCTAGACAAGCAGCTAGCTCTCCAACTTCTGTCCCTCACGGCCAGTTTTTCTCCTTCACATCGGTCACTCCCACCTACTCCCCTGCTGAAACTTCCACCTATCAGTCTCTTCTCACACAAGGCAAATGGTTCTTAGACCAAGGAAAACATATCCTTCCAGCCTCACAGGCCCATTCTATTCTGTCGTCATTTCATAACCTCTTCCATGTAGGTTACAAGCCGCTAGCCCGTCTCTTAGAACCTCTCATTTCCTTTCCATCATAGAAATCTATCCTCAAGGAGATCACTGCTCAGTGTTCCATCTGCTATTCTACTACCCCTCATGGATTGTTCAGGCCTCCTCCCTTCCCTACACATCAAGCTCGAGGATTTGCCCCCACCCAGGACTGGCAAATTGACTTTACTCACATGCCTCGAGTCAGAAAACTAAAATATCTCTTAGTCTGGGTAGACACTTTGACTGGATAAGTAGAAGCCTTTCCTACAGGGTCTGAGAAGGCCACCGCAGTCATTTCTTCCCTTCTGTCAGACATAATTCCTCAGTTTAGCCTTCCCACCTCTGTACAGTCTGATAACAGACCAGCCTTTATTAGTCAAATCAGCCAAGCAGTTTTTCAGGCTGTTAGTATTCAGTGAAACCTTTATATCCCTTACAGTCCTCAGTCTTCAGGAAAAGTAGAACAGACTAATGGTCTTTTAAAAACACACCTCACCAAGCTTAGCCACCAACTTAAAAAGGACTGGACAATACTTTTACCACTTTCGCTTCTCAGAATTCAGGCCTGTCCTCGGAATGCTACAAGGTACAGCCCATTTAAGCTCCTGAATAAGACACTCCTTTTTATTAGGCCTCAGTCTCATTCCAGACACCAGAGCAACTTAGACTGTGCCCCAAAAAACTTATCATCCTTACTATCTTCTGTCTAGTCATACTCCTATTCACTGTTCTCAGCTACTCATACATGCCCTGCTCTTGTTTACACTGCCAGTTTACACTGTTTCTCCAAGTCATCACAGCTGATATCTCCTGGTGCTATCCCCAAACTGCCACTCTAAACTCTTGAAGTAAATAAATAATCTTTGCTGGCAGGACTATGCTGAATCTCCTTAGGCACTCTCTAATCAGATGTCCTGGGTGCTCCCAAGTCTTAGACCTTTTATACCTGTTTTTCTCCTTCTCTTATTCCATTTAGTTTTTCAATTCATACAAAACCATATCCAGGCCATCACCAATAATTCTACATGACAAATGTTTCTTCTAACAACCCCACAACATCACCCCTTACCACAAAATCTTCCTTCAGTTTAATCTCTCCCACTCTAGGTTCCCACGCTGCCCCAATCCCGCTCGAAGCAGCCCTGAGAAATGTTGCCCATTCTCTCTCTCCATACTACCCCCCAAAAATTTTTGCTGCCCCCACACTTCAACACTATTTTGTTTTATTTTTCTTATTAATATAAGAAGGCAGGAATGTCAGGCCTCTGAGCCCAAGCCAAGCCATCGTATCCCCTGTGACTTGCATGTATATGCCGAGATGGCCTGAAGTAACAGAAGAATCACAAAAGAAATGAAAATGCCCTGCCCTGCCTTAACTGGTGATATTCCACCACAAAAGAAGTGTAAATGGCCGGTCCTTGCCTTATATGATGACATTACCTTGTGAAAGTCTTTTTCCTGGCTCATCAAGCTCCCCCACTGAGCACCTTGCGACCCCCACTCCTGCCCACCAGAGAACAAACCCCCTTTGACTGTAATTTTCCTTTACCTGCCCAAATCTTACAAAATGGCCCCACCCCTATCTCCCTTCGCTGACTCTCTTTTCGGACTCAGCCCACCTGCACCCAGGTGAAATAAACAGCCATGTTGCTCACACAAAGCCTGTTTGGTGGTCTCTTCACACGGACGCGCATGAAAGTATCTATGCATTTATAGTGCATGTTAAACCTCATGCTATTTTAAGCAAAAAACTAATGTCTCTTTGAGTGACCACTAAAAGGACCATTTTGGCTATGTTTATAAATTCTGGTAACTTGTGCCAAATCTATCAAGTTTGCCAAAAAAAAAAAAAAAAAAAAATTTACTATACTTATTCAGATCTTTCCCTACAGTTTCAATAAACATATAAAGTTAATAGATGATGAAATATAAATTGCAATCCAATATAAACAGTAAGACTCAGAAGAAAGATCATTAAGAAAAAGTACCTCCAAAGAAGAACTTCAGGAGAACTAGATGATGCAGGTATATTCAAAGAAAGAATGTGATGAGAGGACCAGTTAAACAATGGTATTTCTAATCTTCCCATCAATATTATCATTTGTTTGGATTAGTTCTATATTTATATTATATCTTTGTTTATATTTTATGTTTTCCTTATTAAATACTGTTGAAGATTAAAATAAAAGGATATGATCGTATCACTTAAATTTCTAGAAAAGCAATCTGAACTCCAGATATTTTGGTCAAGAGATCACTCTCCTTCCTGTAGTTAGATTTGGCCAATTCAAAGAACCAATTAAACCATATATTCTTGGGTTTTCATGAAGCTGGGTTTATTTGCAAATCCCCTCCCCCCTTCTGGGAGGTAAAGGACAGGAAATGAAAAGGTTATTTTCTGCTTGGAAGGTCTTGTAAGAAGAACTTGGTAGTTTCACACAGAGGTGCCCCATTCATAATCACAACACCTAACAATGAACTAGCTGTTCAAAGCTGTTTTAAATTCAAATGAGAAGATTAACGAACATCTCCAAAGCATTCCTAACCCCCAATCTCTTTTAAAAATTAATTGTTTTCAAAACCCCTCCTTATGTTTCTCTAGCAAACAGCTGCACAAGATAAACAAAGTGAACAATCATACAGTATAGAATGCTCTGTGCAGAGCCTAAATAAAGCAAGCTACAAAATTGATGAATTCCTTCACAAACCATTTCTAACACATAATGCAGGACAAGCGGAAATCAGACCATGTGTTACACCACAAACTCCCTTAGCTGTGCAAATCATTAGAATTTGATCTTGATCCCAGGGTGTTTACAATAGTGTGATATAGTCTTTCCACCATATTACTCAAACTATCCTTGTGTTATATACTTTGTATACTATGTCTGCTTTGACTACTCATGCAAGGTATAGCATGATAAATTGGAGAAATTTAATTGCAATTGGGCGTAATTGATTCAAAATTTTCTAATAAACTCAAATGAATGATAATTTCCTGATACATTCTTTCTTTTTTAAATCAGCAGTGAGAGAAGCATATTCCTAATACATTCTAAATGAGGCATGTTATTACAGCTGAATTATTACAAAAGACTTCCTTACATGTAGTCATACTGGCCTGAAACAGCAAGGAATCTGTAGCTCACTAATAAATGCATGGTAATCACATGTTTTCTTATTTTCTAGATGACTTCATGGATTATTTAATTTTAAATGTACTCTACACTTAAAGGTGATTGAAAGCCAAATACTGCAAGAATCTTGGAACAATTCACTCTATGGTTGATGTTCTGTGGTTACTTATAGTGGGATGTTTAGACATATCTGAGAAATCTAGAAAACAGGAAACCTTATTGAAACTGTAATTTCTCTTGGCTTGAAACAATCAAACTACAAAACTCAGTGCTGTTTGAGATAGTACTTATAAGCTAAAAGAGCCCTTCCAGGCTGGGCATGGTGGCTCACACCTGTAATCCTAGTGCTTTGGGAGGCCGAGGCGGGCAGGTCACAAGGTTAGCGGTTCAAGACCAGCCTAGCCAACATGGTGAAACCCCGTCCCCACTAAAAAT
Source organism: Homo sapiens (assembly GCF_000001405.40). Classification (NCBI taxonomy): domain Eukaryota; kingdom Metazoa; phylum Chordata; class Mammalia; order Primates; family Hominidae; genus Homo; species Homo sapiens. The sequence goes on from NC_000002.12 coordinate 199,187,548, forward strand.
ACAAAAAAAATTACCCAGGCGTGGTGGCACACGCCTGTAATCCCAGGTTCTCAGGAGGCTGAGACAGGAGAATCGCTTGAACCCAGGAGGCAGAGGTTGCAGTGAGCTGAGATCACACCACTGCACTCCAGCCTGGGTGACAGAGCAAAGCGCTGAGACTCCGTTTCAAAAAAAAAAAAAAAAAGCCCTTCCCATCTTTAGTCATATACTTACTATTTTTCTTTCTCTTGTCATTCTTTTTTATTTTTTCATCTACTTATTTAGCTCTTTATCATTTTTTCCTCCTCTTGTGACTATGTCTTAAGATCACCTGCCAGAGAATTCTCAAGCATGATAGTCTCCCTTGTGGCCATCTTCACTACATTCCGTTCAATTCGAACCTTCTAGACCTGACTACAGTTTGGCACTACTGCTGTAGCTTAAATACTAATGACAATTCTAGGTTCTTTGGCTTATTGAGCCTTCCAGGACAGTCTCAGTTATTCCAAGAAAATGCTCCAGTTAGTGCCTGTTTCCTCAACCCAGTCCTAAAAAATCTGGACAGGAATGTATTGGAGAACAATTTCTATTTAATAGGCATATCTATAGAGACAGAAAGTAGATTAGTGGTTGATTGGGTCTGGGGGGTGGGAACTGAAAGGGTTGGGAGGAAATGGGGAATCTGCTAATGGGTATGGATTTGGAGAGGGAGGTGGTAAGAATGTCCTAAAATTAATTGTAGTGATTGTTGTACAACTCTGAGAATATACCAAAAATTATTAATTTTATACTTTCACAGGGTCAATTTTATGGTAAGTGAATTGCATCTCAATGAAGCTGTTATTTAAAGAAAAAAAAGAAAAGAAAAGAGAAAAAGAATGAAAACAGGAAAACCAGTTAGGAAGTGACGGCACTAGTCCAAGCACACCAGGGGGCTAGTAGCAAAGCCCTTGATCAAATACCCTCTTGGAGCACACCCTATCGTGTCATAAGATGATCTCCAACCTGGTCTCTGCTTTACCATGCTACTTTAAGAAAACCCCTGTATTCATTTTCTAGGGCAACTGCAACAAAGTACCACAGGCTGGGTGGTTTAAACAACAGAAATTTCTTTCCTCACAATTCTGGAAACAAGAAGTCTGAGATCAAGGAGTCAACAGAGCTGGTTTCTTCTGAGAGCCCTCTCATTGGCTTATTGATAGCTGTCTTCTTGTGTCTTAAAATTATCTTCCTTCTGTACATCTTTGTCCTAATCTCCTTTTCTTATATTTAAGAACACCAGTCATCTTAGGGCCCACTCTAAAGACCTCATTTTAGTCTAATTACCTCTTTAAAGGAGCTGTCTCTAAATAGTTATGTTCTGAGGTACTGGGGATTAGGACTTCAACATATGAATTTTGAAGGGGCACAATTTAGCTCATAATACTACTGTATTAGGGTTTTCTAGAGTAACAGAATTAATAGGATATATATATATATATATATATATATATACACACACACACACACACACACACACATAAAGGGGAGGTTAGTAAGTATTAACTTACATGATCACAAGGTCCCACAATAGGCTGTCTGCAAGCTTGAGAGGCAAGGAGAGCCAGTCTAAATCTCAAAACTGAAGATTGGAGTCTGATGTTCGATGACAGGAAGCATCCAGCACGGGAGAAAGATGTAGGCTGGGAGACTAAGCCAGTCTCGCCTTTTCACATTCTTCTGCCTACTTTATATTCACTGGCACCTGATTAGATGGTGCTCATCCAGATTAAGGGTGGGTCTGCCTGCCCCAGCCCATTGATGCAAATGTTAATTTCCTTTGGCAACACCCTCACAGAAGCACCCAGGATTAATACTTTGCATCCTTCAGTCCAATCAAGTTGACACTCAGTATTAATCATCACAACCACCCCACTTCTCCTGTACTAGGACTGCTAACTCAGAAACTGTCCATTCTACTGTAGCATCTGACACTTCCAAATCTTAGATGATCATGCTGCTCGGGACCTCAGCCAGCAGAGATTAAAAGAGCTCACCAACCTCATTTTAGCCATGAGCTGTGGTCCACTTTTTTTTTTCACATAGCCTGGAAGACTTCCCAGCATATTTTGAATTTACAAAATAAACAAGGTAAAATATTAGGCTTCAAGAATTCATTAAATTATTCAACATGCATTTACTGTCTCTTACTCTAGGATCCTTGAACTAGATGTCAGGGAAACAAATGGGCTACGTAATTAGACACATTGAGACACATTGTGCCCAGACAGAGAGGCAATAACTCCATGTCATTCTTTGCCTAGCAGAGCACATAAAACTGTTGTGCTATGGTGTGGGTGTCAATTTGGAGGAGAAACAAACAACCAGCACTATGTCCAGTAAGAGCCATGAAGACTGGCTGAATTAAATAAAATGTTTTCTTGGGTGGCATAGACTGCTAGCTGCCTCCAATATCCATTCTCCTCTTCTTTGGTAAGAAAACCATAACTTGAGTTGTACACATGGCTACCCAAAGAAAGACTACACTTCTCAAAGTCTCTTGTGACAAGTGTCACATTTCTTTTATTTTTCTTTTCTTTTTTTTTTTTCTTGAGGTGGAAGTCTTGCTCTGTTGCCCAGGCTGGAATGCAGTGGCACAATCTTGGCTCACTGCAACCTCCACCTCCGAGGTTCAAGCGATTCTCTTGCCTCACCCTCCAGAGTACTGGGACTACAGGGGCCTGCCACCATGCCTGGCTAATTTTTTGTATTTTTAGTAAAGACGGGGTTTTGCCATGTTAGCCAGGATGGTCTCGATACCCTGACCTTGTGATTCACTCGCCTCCTGTCACATTTCTGTGCAACCACTGGAGAAATCACAGTGTTGGCTAACACATATTGAGCTCTCACTAATTGCTAGTTACAATTCTAAGTATTTTACATGCTTATTTTATTTATTTATTTATTTATTTTTATTATTTATTTTAATACAGATGAGCTCTAACTATGATCTTGAACACCTGGGCTCAAACAGTCTTCCCACCTCAGCTTCCCAGAGTGCTGGGATTACAGGCGTGAGCCACCGCACCCAGCACTGACAGCTTTCTTAAAACAGGTTATATGCACGATTCATCTCTGCATTCTCACACACCTCTTGTGGTGCCTAGCAAACAGTAGTAGCAAACAAATTTATTTAAATAAATGGATTTACACATGTCTGGGATGCCTGCAATGTGACAAGCTCACTGAAGCCTACGAATGATTGCATCTTCCTCTTTAAACTGTTTTGTTTTTTAATAGAAAAAACTTCAATTTTGCCAACTCTTCCCCATTTTAATTGTTAGTTTGAGCTCCTTCTTTCACATCCTCCATTTGACAAATTAGTATCGACATCTTGCAAAGTCTGATGATACCTTTTTAACTTTTTTCTTCTTTTTTATATACAAGTCAAGTCTTCTGGGGTTTTTTATTGGTAGTTTTCTATTATTCTATTTTAGTAGAGACTATGTTATTTTAATTTTTACTATTATATATGTGTGTGTGTGTGTGTGTATAGTGTTACCGCTCTTTTAAAATTTGTTTAGCAGGCTTTCCAATTTTTGCCAGAAAGCTCCCTGAAAAATAAAAAATAAAGAATATATATATATATATATACACACATACACATATATTTGAAGATCAAAAGAAATATGTAAATAATTCTTTTCAGCATATACTGTAAATATTTGGCCGACCATATCCCAATTGAAATTCTTACATGAATTCAATAGCTATTGACCATTATAAACCCAGGGAAATCATATTGTTCTATGGGCTGGTTGTTAGAAAGGACCTAAGGAGAGCTTTAACTAAGAGGCCAGGGACATTACTATGCATTTGTCTATTTAACCTTGATTCAAGCAATAAGAGCATTGTGAACATTTCTATGGAAGCTCAACCACCCAACATAAAGCCTAGTAAGATAATAATAAAAATCCTCATCCACCTCCTCAGGCCTCTTAACACCTGCCACCCAGTGAAGATTCCTGCGGTACTCGACTCCTAACTCCCTCCTCGCACATTTATTGTTACTTATGACAAGGTCCATGAATCACTGTAAAGACGCTGCCCACCCTTTAATATCCTGCACAACCCTAAATTGTGCACAGCTGAGCCATCAGCAGCTAAGGAAGAGGTTCAAAGAATAGCTATTCATGGTATAGCCACAAGATACAACGTGGAGACCAAACGGCATCAAAAGAAAGACTCAAAGAGCAGAATGTTGCAGCGAGGCAGAGGCTTTTGAGAGAAAAGGAAACTTTGAGATGGCAGTTTTACAAGGGATTGAGACAAGTGAGCCTGTTTACGTACACAGGATGGCTCCCTTTAATTAGTGGTCTCAGCAGGAAGAATTTGTGATGCTACAGACATCACAAAGGGCAGGTAATATTCTGATACATCTCTTCAGCACTCTGAAATCCTTGAAGTATCCAACTAGAGAAACAACTTTTTTTTAAAAAGAAAGGGAGAAAGAAAGAAAGAAAATCCAGTTTATCAGACTGACTTTCTAGCAGTCTGAGTTCACCCAGATGCAGTTTAAGTGTATGTAGAATGTATTTTACCACATCTAGTTTGCTTCTACTTTTTTTTTTTTTTTTTTTTTTTTTTGAGATGGAGTCTCGCTCTGTCACCAGGCTGCAGTGCAGTGGCGGGATCTCAGCTCACTGCAACCTCCGGCTCCCTGGTTCAAGCGATTCTCCTGCCTCAGCCTCCCAAGTAGCTGGGATTACAGGCACATGCCACCATGCCTAGCTAATTTTTTTTTTTTTTTTATTTTTTAGTAGAGACGGGGTTTCACCACGTTACCAGGATGGTCTTGATCTCCTGACCTCGTGATCCACCTGCCTCGGCTTCCCAAAGTGCTGGGATTACAGGCATGAACCACCATGCCCAGCTGCTTCTACTTTTAATTCCATGCAATATTGTATATCTGAGGAACACAAAGTAGATGTTTAATGATAATAGTATTGGAATTACACTCTTCCTTCAAAATATGTACATGCCAAGTCAAAGCCTGAGTATAAGTTAAGCAGATGCCTAAATTCGTGTGACTTTACATGCAGTCCACTAAACATATAACCAATAATTTTAGTCACAAAAATAGAAATCTCTTTTATTTTTATTACATTTTACAGTTTACAAAGCACTTTGAGCAGACAGTGAGTTTCATTTATGAAACAATCTTTGAAAACACATGTTTCTTATAGAAATAACTTGGAAAAATTTAAAGATAATTAAAAGCACTTTAACATCCTCCACACACACACACACACACAAAAAAAAAAACCCTACAATAAAATTTTGCTAAATTTCTTTTCAGGGATATCCTCTATAATTTATTTATACCCTACTTTGTTCCAGAAAGGATTTAAAGTGGTTTACAATGAAATACAGTTATAGCAAAATAAATTAAAAACTGTTGAGAATTTAAAAGAAAATAACAAGGATAGAAAAGGGGATTGAAATAAAACTAATTTTTTTAAAATCAAAAGGCAGATGATGACAATGTTCATACCTGCCACCAGCCTGTCACAGTTTTAGCATCTAATGCAAAGCAGTAAGATTGCTCAGTTACACAATTTACTTAAGTGGCCATTGAGGAAGGGGGACAAACAAACAAATTTCTCAACAAAACATAGCTTTTCCTTATGTTCCTTATATTTTTTTCAGATGGTCTTTATAAACATGCAACGAAGGACATGTACCAATCTTATGGTAGATTTGACCATGAGATTCAAAAAGCTGTTTCTTACAGGGCTCTTCAGTATAGGCTAAGTCTATTCCACACATATACACACACAAACTATATTTATAGTCATGCACCACATAAGATGTTTCGGTCAATGACAGACTGTGTATATGATGATGGTCTCATAAGATTATAATATTTTTACTGCATCTTTTCTATGTTTAGATACACAAATACTTACCATTGTGTTATACTTGCCTACAGCATTCATCATAGTCACATGCTGTACAAGATTGTAGCTTAGAACAACAGCCTACATCATATAGCCTAGGTGTGTAGTAGGCTACACCACCTAGGGTTGTGTAAGTACACTCCATGATGTTCATACATGACAAATTCTCATAATGATGCATTTTTCAGAATGTTTTCCATTCACTAAGCGATGCATGATGACTCTTACACATATATATTTGATTTGATTATTAAGTAAAGTATATAAGATACACATATATTACATATATGTATATACACATACTTTGCTTACTTAATAATCCATTATATCGAGCATTTATACTCTAGTTTTTCACTATTTTAACACGGGGATACATGTCTTTACATATAACTATATCTATCTCTGCTTCTTTAGGAATGATTTCTAGAAGTGGAAATGGGAACTGAAAGGTATGAATATGTCAAAGTCTCTCCCCATATTCTGCCAAAATACTAGCCAAGAAATGCTGAAACCAATGTATGCTTCCATCAGTAGACTACGAGAGTGTTCAAGTTGATAGTCCTCTTAATATTACCGGTTTTTAAAATTACTGCCAAAATAAGAAGCAAAAAAAAAAAGGAATAGATTGTGGTTCTCTTTGGCATATGTTAAAATATTTTCACAAATGTAAAGAATAAATTTTATTTATAATTTATGGTGTGGTGTTTTTTTTGGTTTGGTTGGGTTGTTTAATTTTTCTCACCCTCTAGACTATAAGCTTTGTGAAGACAAGTATCACACATCACAGAGCCTAGAACAAGTCCTGGCACATAACTGGCAGTTAAAATTATTCACTGCATGAATAAATGATTATATTTTTATATACATAAGCTTTTGTTTATTAACATTTTTGCTTGCCTTGAAATGACAAAGATTTTTGTCCTTGACCAAACTCTAGCCAACTTCCTCTGAGCCCTCTTCTCAATAGGCCTCTATAGGCCTCAACCTTGGGCCTAAAGAAACTACAGACTCTCAACACAAATTATTTCATCCATCCTTCTGCCCCAACATTAAAGACTTAAGCAAACACTGGTGTGGTTTTTAAGAGCTCAAGCCTGCATCCCTAGATGACCCTGGCCCCGCTTTAAAGTGCCTGTCCCCTTTAAAGAACAATTTACTGCTTTTTCTAGCCGATACTCAACTATAGCAACCTTTCTTAGAGCATTTACTCGAAATGGCTTGAAATTGTAATCTTTCCTCTGTCCCTTTGAGATGTATGTTAATCTATTTCTCAAGAGTGCCTTTTTCTCAAAGACCTAAAACCCAATCCTTTAAAAAGTAGAAGGATAGGGCCTCTGCTTCACAGGCTCTGTGGGAGAATAGAATCTTACCTTAGATAATTCCAGCTAACAGATATAGCTGGTCTAGTCGGCCTTTATACTGACTGATCCTTTGTAATTTCTCACTTCTCTGACTCTACTGAGCCCCCTGCTCATTCTCCTCCTCCTCCCCATTCCCTCATTTTTCTGTCAAAACACCCAGTCACCTTCACATAAATCAAAGTTGAGTTCAGTTTACCATAGACCTTATTCTCTAATGCAATTGTATATTACAGATTAAGATCTGTCCCTACTGCTTTAACTAGTGTCCGCCTTTCTTTTATTTTTGATAGGAACTCATCCTTGTCCTCTCTATCATTTAAGGTATTATTTAGGTGAACCAAATGTTCTAACAAAACTAGTTACATATTTGCAAAGAATTTAATGACAAGAATGCCAATCAACTGGTGTTTGTGTATATGTGCTTAGATTTTTTTTTCTTACATACCCCTGGAAGCATTAGGCTTATATGGTTATAATCTGAATAACATGTTAAATAACTGTTTGCAAGTATAAAATCCCATGGGCCATTAAAAGCTATAACATCTTTTAGCATGTGCCTAAAACTTTACTATCAGTCTCATAATTTGTGCCAAAAAATTTATCTTTTCCAATTGAAAAAGTATCAAATCTTCTGACCACCTTTTTAATGGTTTTCCATTAATGGTCATTGTCTTGTACATCTGTCTCTGTGTTTCAGAAGTCCACAGGTAAATAGTAATTATGGCTACCATTAAAGTGTACTGGCAGAGTATCAGGCTTGTGTAAGATGCTCCAATTCACTTCCCCTCAAAACTTGACAATAGCACAATAAAATTGACACTTCTAAAGGTGAGAAAACTGAGACTCAAAGAGGTTAAACAAATTGCCAAAGATCACAGAGCCTGTAAATAATGGAACCATGATTTGAACCATCAACTGTTTGACTTCAAAGTCTGTGTTCTTTCCACGATGCTTCACAACCTAGACATAGTCACACATAGATTTTTGGCTCTTTCATATTTCTCATCCTTGATAACTAACATGCAGTCAAAACAAAGTGAATGAGGGGGGAAATTATACTCAGAATAAACATTGTAATTATAAAAGAAATAAAAAGGAAAAGAAGAAAACAGTCAAGCTGTGGCAAAGCAAACTCCAAAGCGACCAAGAGGCTTATAAACCTCTCATTTTCTTTAAAGGAGCTATATTTCCTCCCTCTAAAAACTCTGGCTTTGGAACGAAGGTGACATACTGTGGGAAGACCAAGGAAATTAAACTTTTTTCATCTTATTGATTCCTATTTCTTTCATTCCATCTGTTTCCTTGGCATGGTGAAGGGGGTGACGATCGACGCAGAGTAAGCTGGCTCTGTCAGTCAGAAGATAGGAGCTGACAAACCAGACACGGGCTTGGGAAGGCCTTCCATGAGGGGAAGAATCTGTGCCAGATGACAGGACTCACAGAGAGTCTGACAAAATGTTGCAGACAATCAGGAAGCATCTGATCCAGATTTCATAGATAATAAGCAGGCTCTTTCCTGTGTGCATGCACATAGATTTGAGTATTTCTGATCAAGTGCCCCATTTTTACACAGAACAGGAAGTACAACACAGTAAAATATCAAATGAAAGGGGACAAGAAGGAGGGTATAAAAAAGGAAAAACAAACAACTAAACTGGTAGCACAGAAAACTTGAATATTTTGCATCCATAGAGCATACAATATGATGACGTGATTTACAAAAAAAAAGGCTTTAGAAGTTAATAATTCTAATATTATCACCAGGGTGCAAATACATTGGAATTTCACAAAAACAATTTGCTATAGGTTAGAGCCTTCTTAAAAATCATACAGCACTCAGCTGCTCTTCTATCATACAAAGGATATTTTGTGATTTCTATTAGGTCGTATCCAACGTAAACTCTAAAATAGCCCTAAAAACTGCTGGTTGCATCAGAAAGAATCTGAAGTAGATCACTAGACAGTCTTGTGATTAAATTCTATTAAGAGATATAAATTCTGTGTGTCATTAAGAGCTTCATTCAGGAAAGGCTTCTACTCTGGCAGAGAAAAGACTAAAATGAAAAAGCAGTTCATCAAAGGAAGCTCATTTTGTTGGGAGCCAAAAGGCCCATATATGGTGAGGCTGGAAAATGAATCAGTTTTACCATTTCATTGGCCCCACCACCAAGTTAAGCTACTATCATCAACAAAAGGCATAATGTTATCTCTTTGCTCGCTCTCTCCTGGACTGGAAAGCTCCCATCAAAACAGAGAAGAAATGTCAAAAACTATAATCATCTGAAAGTACACGGCTGATTTATAAACCCCACATGTGAACAATTTCATTGTAAAATCCTTCTGAACACTATTATGTGCTGAATTGTGTCTCTCAAAAAAAAATACTAGAGTCCTAACTCCCAGTACTTCAGAATGTGACCTTATTTGGAGATAGGGCTTTTACAGAGGTAATAAAGTTAAAATGAGATCATTAGGGTGGGCCCTAATCCAATATGACTGGTGGTGTTCTTATAAAAAGGGAAATTTGGACACAGAGAGAGGTATACACATAGAGGAAATGCCCTGTGAAGAAACACAGGGAGAACATAGCCATCTATAAGCCAAGGACAGGGGCCTGGAACAGATCCTTCCCTCATGATCCTCAGAAGGAACCAACCCCGCCAACATCTTGATTTCAGACTTCTAGCCTCCCAAACTAGGAGGCAATACATTTCTATTGCTTAAACCACCCAGTTAATCACACTTTGTTACAACAGTGCTAGCAAATTAATACAGATTTGGTATCAGGAAGTGATGCATTGCTGTGACCACAAAATGTGAAAGTGGCTTTGGACTTGGTAATGAGTAGAAGCTGGAAGGCTTTGAGGTACATGACAGGAAAAGCCTATATTGCCTTAAAGGAGAATGTTGCTGGTAATATGAATGTTACAGGTGCTTCTTGGTGAGGCCTCAAATGGAAATGAGGAACACATTACTGGAAACTAGAGGAAAGGTGATCCTTGTCATAAAGTGATAAAGAACTTGACCAAATTGTGTTCTGTTGATTAGAAGAGACAAGTTGTAAGTGACAAACTTGGATATTTCATTGAAGAGATTTCTAAGCAAAGTGTTGAAGGTGGAGCATGGTGTCTCCTTGCTGCTTATCATATAATACAAGAGGAGAGACATAAATTGAAGAAGCAAAAAGGAACTAGAAGTTGAAGATCTGGAAAATGCCCAGCCTACTCATACTAAAAAGGGTATACTCTGGAGAAAAGTCCAAGGGTATGACTGAACCACCCTTTGCTAGAGACATTAGGCATGTGACTTGTAGACCCAATCAACCATCTCAGCATAAATAATGCCAGCTTGGACTGAAGGGTACAGAGAAAAGACAAGATAAAGGGAGGCTGTGTGACTTCAGGGATCCTACAGGCAGGAAACAGTCCAATAGAGCTATTTGGCTACGCATATGTGTTAACCTCCAAGAAAAGGGAAGAATGACTCCAAAGGCAGTTCAGAGGCTGGTGGAGCTTCCGTTGCCATCACTGGCCCAGAGGGTGGGGCCACCTTCTTCATTTAACATGGCAAAACTAGCCTCATTGTCATTCTTGGTACCCCCTCCTGACTTCCTTGCTTCTATGGTCACTTCCAGTAACCCAAGTTTAAAACCTGTCATCAGTGACCCCTTTCCTTTCATTCATATTCAATTAGGTCCCTGCTCCTGTTGACTATTCTACTCTTCAAAGATATTTATGTCATTGAAGATTGTACTTTTAGTAATAAAAAGCATTCTTAACTAGTTTTATGACATTGTGCTAAGAACTTTGTGCAGTTTATAGTTTTTAATCCTTATAACAGTGCCATGCGATAGGTATGCTATTAATAGTCATTTCACAGAGAGGAAAACTGAAGCTCAAAGAGATACCAAATCACTGTATTTGCCCAAATCACATGGTGATGAAGTATCAGAGAAGGGACTTGAACAAGATCTTCCTCAGCCTTGAACCACACTCTTAACTGGCACACTGCCTCCTTTAAAAAATATTTCATCTTTCTTTCTTTCTTTCTTTCTTTCTTTCTTTCTTTCTTTCTTTCTTTCTTTCTTTCTTTCTTTCCATTCCCACTGTTACTGAACTAAGTTTTGTAATCTGTCACATTTTTATTGCTACACAAAATCCTTTTGTGTATCTCTTCTCCTCCCAACCTATATTTTAAAAATTTCATCTAAAAAAAAGTCTAACTGTAAGTCATGCCTTAGCTCAAAATTTTTCTATGACTTCTCATTGCATGTAGCCAAAATACCTTAGTATGACATTTCACAGTATCTTTACTCATCATGCCACCTGCTAAAATCTTGCCCATCCTAAATGCTTAGTCTCTTTATCTTTCGAATTTTTATCTGAACATAGAAAAATATTACTTAGAAAAATATTCTTTCTCCTTGGAAGTTGCTATGGCTTGAATGTTTGTTCTCTCCAAAACTCATGTTAAAATTTAATCCCCAATGTGGCAGTATTGATGGGGGGGTGTGATTGGGTCATGAAGTCTCTGTCCTCATGAAGAATTCATTCATTCATGGATTAATAGATTAAGGAGTTATCAGGGGAGGGGAACTGGTGGCTTTATAAGAAGAGGAAGAAAGATCTGAGCTAGCACATTAGCACACTCAGCTCTCTCACCATGTGATGTCCTGCATCTCCTCAGGACTCTGTAGAAAGTCCCCACCAGCAGGGGGGAGGGATAGCATTAGGAGATATACCTAATGCTAAATGACGAGTTAATGGGTGCAGCACACCAGCATGGCACATGAATACATATGTAACTAACCTGCACATTGTGCACATGTACCCTAAAACTTAAAGTATAATAATAATAAAATAAAATAAAATAAAATAAAACAACAACAAAAACAAAAAAAAAAGAAAGTCCCCACCAGCAAGAAGGCTCTCACCAGATGTGGCCCCTCAACCTTGGACTCTCAGCCTTCATAATTTTGTAAAAAAAAATTGTTTCTTTATAAATTACCTAGTTTCAAGTATTCTAAGCAATAGAAAACAGACACACAAAAGTCTATGATGTGTAATATTCATTCATATCAATGTCAGAATTAATATGTCAGCCACTGAGACTGAAATCAGCATCTTCTCTCAAAATTCCCTCTCTCTCCCAGTGTTCTCTGTCCACCTGCCAATCATTCACCCATTCTTGAAATCCTGATGCTGTCTTTGACTCCTGCTCCTTTTCATGTGAAATCTGCTGCTAAGTCCTACTGTTTGTTCCGCTACTGAAGGGCTTTCAATCTATCCCTTCTTCTTCATTGTCATTTTCTCCATCCTCATTTATGCTCCCTGGACTTGAAAGCATAACAGAGCATAAGAGAACTACCACTAGTTTAAATTTCCTCCACAAAATAAGCAGAGATTGACAGGGCAGAGGGGCTGGGGGAAGAAGGAAGAGACACAGGAGAGAAATTGCCACAGCCTACATGAAAGACCTAGGCCTAAGAGGGAGTGAAGAAGGAGAGAATAAAATCTGCACCAAATGGGGTGGAGGGATGGGGAGGACAGGTGGTGATAGGAAGTGCTGACAGCTTGAAAATGAGGAAATTGAGGAGACGAGAAACCAGGGTAGGAAAAAGATGGTTGGTATTATGAATCTAATTCCTTTAATTTACCTTTGGAGGACAAGCAAAGTATGGCATTCTTTTTAAAATTACACTCTGGCTGTTATATACTGTGCTGCTTTGACAGAGCTGTTGTCTCTAAACCAAGAATAGCCTTTTCTAGCCCTGCATTCTCTATAACTCAACTCTCAATTTTCTACTAAAACTACCTCTGCTTGGCATGAGAGGCTCTGAACCAACAGCCCCAACCCACTATTCCTCAGCCAGCCTCTCCCACCCATGACAGTGCAACCCCAACAGCTTCCTCCTCCACATGGGTCTTTACCTGTGCTCTCCTCCCTCAGAAATTTCCAGTCTCCATCCCTGCCTCTCAAAATCCTCTCCATCTGATAGGGTTTGGATGTTTTGTTTTCCCCAAATCTCATGATAAAATGTGATCCCCATTGTTGGAGGTGGGGCCCAGTGGCAGGTGTTAGGGTCATGGGGGTGGATCCCTCACAAATGGCTTGGTGCCATCCCTGCAGTAGTGAATGATAATGAGTTCACAAGAGATCTGCTTGTTTTAAAGATTCTGTGACCTTCTCCCTCCCTCTCTCTTTCTCCCTCTCTTGCCATGTGACATGCCTGCTTCCCCTTCTCCATCTACCATGGTTGGAAGCTCCCTGAGACCGTCACCTGAAGCAGATGCCAACACCATGCTTCTTGTACAGCCTGCAGAACTGTGAGCCAAAAGAAACCTCCTTTTTTTTTTATGAATGACCCAGTCTCAGGCATTTCTTTATAGCAACACAAAACGACTAACACACTATCCTTCAGGGTCTAAGGAAAAGGCTACTTCCATGACTCCCTCATCTGGAATTGCTCTTGTTCCATCCTTTGTGCACAAACAAGGCTTTGTGTTTTGTCTTTTTAGCCCTGTTCCATTTCTAATTCTGCTTGTCTTGAACTGGATTATTAGCCTACCTCAGTTCCTCAACAGAATATACACAGCCTTAAAGGTAAGGGCTATTACTTGTTTATCTTGATGCACATAACTGAGCATCTTATACAAAGTAGATACCCACACAAATTTACCAACTGTAGTGGCATTTCATCCCAACAGCTTTTTTATTTTTCTTCTATTAAGCAATGAGGTGAGTTGTCCACAAGGTTTTTGCGTGGGAAAGTTTCTCATGGAAAATTTTAGCCTCTTTGTTATAGATGAAGCATCAATTAAAAAGCACAAAGTGACACAGTCTGAACCTAGAATATATCCTGGGGCCCAGACCAAAGAAAGAGACAAATTTAAAGTTGTACAAACCAACAGTGGGAGGACCATCTATACTTAGTGACTAGTCTGTCAGAGTGAAAAACCTCAAGTGGGTTGTAAATATAGGGTTGATTCTTTGGGGGATTTTTCTTCTATTTGCTGATTCAGCTCCTACAATCAAGAGATTTTGTTGTTATTCAATTTTACTTAAGGCAGATTAAATCAACTGATTTCATGTTTATTCCTGATTTTTGTTTTTCTTACCTTGACTAAACTCTATGTTTTACAAAGGTCTTTCAGTTTTAGTGATCAGAAATATGCTTTTATCCTTTTTTTTTTAACAATAGCTGTCTATTTCTTTTCTTGTAGACTTCTATGGAAATTCAACTAATTTGTTAGAAAATGTATTTTTTTTTTAATTTTCAGGAATCCACAGGACTGTTCTCTTCTGAAATTCTGGTTGATGATATGAATGTATTTTTCCCCAGCACTCAGTAAGACCCCAGTGAATACATGTCTGCATAACACGTAGAGGGTACACTGTTGGTACAAAATGGTTGTTTTGGCATTTTGTATTCCCAAATGTTCTAAGGTAACCCTTTTTATGATTCTCATTCTCCATAAGAAGAAGGAAATTTTGAAGGCATATCTTTTGAGGACTGCTCATCTCATGAAATCCATTCTACTCAGAGTTTACTTAATTATGATTACTTTAAAAGGGGAAATTAGCAAAACAACAATGATTAAAGTTTCCCAAGCATTGATTGGGCATTTTTGAAAGGCTTCCTTCTAGAGCTATGTGATATGGTCATTAGGCTTTCAGAAGAATAACTGGAAGATTAGATGAAGCAGATCAGCACTGCCCCCAACCCACACTAAAGTTGTAGACCTAAAAAAGAAAGAAAAGAAAAACTCAAAATAAAAGGAAAAGAAGAGTCCTTTTGGTTCCATCATATATTATCAGCAACTTATATTCTCTTTGAACAATTGCTGATTTTCTCACCCTATCTCCACCTCTCTAAATAACAATTTTCCAAACCTAAGACTCTGTTTTTTGACAATTCATCCCCATTGCAGGCACCCATGTATGCACGGTCACACATTCGTATACACACAAACACACAGTTTTTCTCATAACAGATTTGCAGAGAGGTCAGAGGCAAAGGAGGGGGAAAACTTAAAAAAAAAAAAAACTCCAGTAAGTTTGATCTAAACAAAATGGTTATTCAAATGGGTCCCCTACTAATTTTACAAAGATGCGTGATAATATCCAACATATGGCTTTAACTACGTTTTTTAATATTAGAAATTGAATGCACATTTTAAGACACAAGTTTTGCTGATATGCTGTTGATAATACAGGATAACTATTTTCCATTTGTTTCTAATTATCTTAAAGACAGCCTGGGGATCATTTACCCATGGTTTAAGAGCACTCAGATAAGTCCACAAATGCAACAGGCGGGCATGTGTGTCAGCTACTGCATCGGGGCTGCGTGAGGGTGGCTTAGCCAAGACTATCCTCTTATGTCTGAAACCACTAGATACGGTTCCTAAGGTCAAGCAGTACTAAAAAATAAAATCCTTCCTTTGTCAGCATTCTTAGGGTGTGGGCTCTGGAGCCAGACTGCCTGGCACCACCATTTAAGTAACTGGGTGACCTTGTGCAAGTTAGTTAACCTCTCTTTGCCTCAATTTCCTTATCTGAAAAATGGGGCTGTACCAACAACTTATGGTCAGCATGAGGATGAAAGCATCTAGTATGGTGCCCAAAAGAGAGAAGGCATGCAATAATTGATCTGGCTCCAGCTTAACTCCCTACTTTGTCCGTCTCTGCCTTCCCACTCCCAACTGCTTTCCCTGAATCTTGCCACCAAGGTTTCTTCAAACATGCTCTCCCTTGCCTCTCCTGGATTACTTTCTTCTTTCCTCCTGGCTAACCCACACTCCTCTGCTAGGTCTCGATGCAGACTGTACTTCCTCCAGCCTGAGTTAGGTGGTCCTCACCTATGTACCCACAGCTGCCTGGGCTCCTTCTATTGCTGTGTGTCTAACACAGCATTTTAATACTTAATGGTTTCCCCCATTGGACTCCGAGGAAAAGACTGATCTGTCTTGTTCATTGTTGCAATCCCACCTCATGAAAAACGTGCTTTGCGCTGGAACTGACTGTATTTTTTCTTTGCAAAGCAGAAAAAACAGTCTTCCTCCTTTAGTGTACCCATCTAAAATAGATAAAAATGCAGGGGAGGTATGTTTGCTTGAGAACATTTTTAATTTTAATCCTTCCTGAGATTTGGTGAGCCCTTTCAATCTGAAAATTCAAGTGTTTCCTTGGCTCAGGGATTTATTCACACACATGTACATACACATGCATGCACATTTACAAGTATACATATGTGCACACACTTGTATTTATTACTTCATTTCTATTCTTCCTTTTTCTCTGTTAGTAATGGTCATTGTTTGCTTATTGGAACTCTAGAATTTATCTTCCTTGTCTCTTATTGCATCTTTTCACTCGTGATTTTTCTTTCTTTTGCTTCATTTCTTTGATATGTGTTTGCAACTGTTCCCCCATTTCATCTTATGGATTATTTATTTCATATTTCAGTAGTTGGATTCTCCTTTTTCCCTTCTACTGGTAAACTATTTTAATTTGGAAATTGTTGTTTTATTGTTTTCATCATTTCCTAAAACGTTGCTAAAGCATTCTAAATTCTTTCTTGGTTTTTGTTTGTTTTTCAAAATCTCTTTTACTTTTATTACATCTTCCCCATACATGGCAGATTGGTCTCTCTTCCTCAAGTAATTGGGATTTCTTTGCCTGCTCCTAGTGCCATGTAGCTGGAGCCTGGGCAGTGCTAGACTGGCCAGCTGTGAGAGATGAGACTGGCATTTCTTCTTTGGGAGGCTAGCCATGAAATGCCCACAGCCAGCCAGGACCTCTGCACTGAGAGCTAGAGCCTCAGCCAGCAACTGCAGGATTGGCTTTCTCCTCCCCAGGCTCTGGCAGTGGCACTGGAAACATTGGCCCCCTGTACCAGCAACTCTCCTCCCCCAAATTCCTGCACTTCTTAAGGATCCCAGACCTCAGGAGATTGTTTCATACAACCTGAGTATATCCTGCAGGGTTTGCCCGGAGGTAGATGACAGCTACGGGCATGCGTCGAGGCTACCATTTTCCATTATTTAATTAATTTAAAATTATCTGAGGGAATGAGGGTAGACAAGGCATAAAACAACTCCCTCATATTAAAGAAATATTTCTTACATTTAGAAAAGTTGAAATCCTCAAAGTTAAAATAACCAATTAAGAATAATTTTTCAGAAAAAAACTATAAAATTAAAATTTCTCTGAAGTTTAATAAGATACCCTATAAGACACCCAAACTCATATGGGAAAAATTAGCCTCAAAGCTCAACGTCCTCTTTGAAATATATCATGACTGGCATTGCAACACTGAATATGGAGGAAGCGTGGTGATTAAGAACATAGACTCCAGAATGCATCACGTATTCTTTCATTGCCTTAGTTTCCTCATCTGAAAAAGGCAGTTAATAATACTACCTACCATATAGCTTTGTGAAGATGAATCAATATTTGAAAACTGCTTAGAATAGTATCTGGCATATAATAAATGCTATAAAAATGTTTGTTAAATAAAATAAGTACAAAAGCTGTGAACACTATAGGGAATTTTTTATATCCAGGATATCATTGCTTTTTTTTTTTTTCAGCTTTTTAAAATACCTTTGCCTTCAAAATGGGCTCACGGCTGCTTATTTGAAAATGATTCCCTAACAGATGCTATAACAAGGACCGTGGCATAGACAGTTCTGGAACGCCAAGAATTTCCAGTGAGAGGAAAGAAGTGGGAATTTTTTACTTTAAAATGTTTACTCAAGGCATATGTTTTTATTATAATTCATTTTCAACTTTATGGTAGAATAACAAAGTATTTCTATCAAGTAGATATTAAAAATAGCCTGAAGATTTTCATGTTTCAGAGAACAGTACACCCACAAGACACGACAGAGGGCTGTTTCCTGGTGTGCCCATTTTTAAGCACTCCCCACACATTCACACCGTTGCTCCACTAGATTCTAACAGAGATATATACACAAATGGACCATTTTGCTGTCTCTTTCCTAACTCTACAGTCAAAAGATGAAAAGAAGAGAAAATACGATCAGCATCTGAACAATGTCAGAAATGTCAAAAGTCCTATCAATTAAATAATTTTAGAATAAAAATTATGAAAGCTAATGATAATTGAGGCATCTTGATACAAACTTTCCATGCATTATTTCATGTGAGTTTCTGTTAGATAGGGTTCAATATTTTATTTCTCTGATTACCACTTAGAATCTTCTTGGTCTCTTAAGATACCTGTATCTTTTTCATTCCTGAAGTCAAGGAAATAAAACTAGGCAAACTTAATTTAGTTTTAATAATTCTGATGAGCCAAATGCCAATGACAGAGGTTTGGGATAAAAATGTGTTTTTGATCTGTGTCGAGGGGGGATGTTAAGCAGCACAGCATAAATGGTTGGCTATGGACCTCTGAATAAGCTTTAATCAGCTGTATAATTCACGCAAAACATTCAGCTTGATCCAGGCAACCAAAGACAATGTGGAATTTTATCCTATTTGATCTGCAGTGGAAGCATTGACTCATTATGTTTCTTGTCAACTTTCTATGTTGCTTAATGTCATGTAGAATCCAGTTCAAAGATAATCTTTTGGTAACATTTTTTAAGAGCAGCCGAAGCTCACGCATTCAAGAGAAAACAAATGTATGTGACATGCAGAGCCAGGGAGGAGGTCAAGTCAACTGCAAATTTGGATTTAAAATCTACACCATTGCCCAGGTCCTGACCCTAACCTTCTGTCTCCCAATGGCAAAGAGAACCAGGGTGTTCTGCCTCCCATAACATAAGAAGCCACTCTTCTGTGTGAAATCCCCCATCAATTTTGCAGAGGTTTTCTGCCATTATCACACTCCAGGTAGGCAGTTGTCACGAAGCATTAGAGCCATGAGAGGCTGACAGCATAACTGCGGGCGAGCTCGGGGCTCAGCGCGGTCCAGCACCTGCCGCCTGCTCAGGCAGGAGTGTCCCCTGTCAAGACACAGCCTGGCAAGAGGCTTCAGGAATCACTTGTATCGGTGCCCTTCATTGACAGCACGCTGGAGGGCAGCCTGTCTAGCAAAAGCAGGACAGAAACCTTTGCCAGCCACCTGCCTGCCCCCATATGGTAGCCATTTAAAAACCCGTCACTTTTATAAAGAAACTCTCAAATTATTCATTCATCAAGCACAGTTTTCACTGGCCCGACTGCCTCAATGCATGATCACCTGGCTCTGTGATTTGCAGAGGCTTGTTTTCACAGGACTTCTTTTGGGTACCACTAAGGGAGAAATTGCCTAAATATAGCCGGGTGAGCAAATCAAGTCCATTCCACCTTATGGACTCTCACTGCTCCAAGGAGGGCATTCCTGGGGAGCAAGAGTGTTTTCACACACAAGTGGATTCCATCAACATGCCAGGAGCATCTCTCTCTCCCACAATGGAGGGAGTGTCTGAGGGAATGTTGCAATGTGATAACTTGTTTTCTCATTTTCCAGATCCAGAGGCAATAGGGAGGAGTTAATAGGGAAGGAGGCAGAGGGAATTTTTTCAAAAACCATAACCAAAAAATGAAAGACACCTGAGTATTTACTGGAGCTGTAAACAGATTCTAGAAAATTTAACAATGGAAATATGCTTTAAATGGCCCAGAAATCCATTACTACTTGCATATATGTCAGAATTTTACTAATAATTTTTTCTTTTAAATTACATTCATGAGAGAATATAAGTTTATGGCAAGGTTTCAGTGGATATGTTGAAATTTTCTTCCTGATTTGTTTCCATGTTTTCTGGCTATCTCCCTCCACTATCATGTAAACTCCATGAGGTTAATGGTCTTGTCACTGTCACTGTGCTCAGTAAATATTTAGTGGCCAAACTGGACAAATAAATGCAAAAAAGGATGAATGAATGAATGAATGAATGACACCTGGAATAAAGCACCAGATGTCTTATGACATGGCTTCTAAACTTTGTACAGAGGTTGTGACAGAAAGGATAGAGTGAAATTGAATTACAAGAATAATAAAGATTTTTAAATATTTTAAATTATTTTTGGTACGTTTTGGTTAAAGATTTAGAATTTAAAAAAATAAGTTGCAATGAAGAGTGAATGAATGATCCAGGCACCTGAGAGTTGAGCACAATTCCTGTTGTTGGAACTTAAGATTCATTGTACATGCCCCACCTGCCAAAGGAGTGATTTTCAGAAGGCAGGCTGGTGAGAATTTACATGCTTCCTTCTAAAGTCAGCTACTAGTCACTGGGTTTATTTTTCTTCTTTCTTTCTGCCAATCTCATCATCCATTCTTTTTTCTCCAGCTGAAACCTGCGCTCAGATGCTCTTCACCCTGAGGCTGTCCCATGAGATTGAGCTCCTTCTACCTAACTACCTCTGAGACCTTTAGCTCTACTTGGGTGTCCCACAGACTCTCAAATGCAACAGTCCCAAACCTAGCTCCTGACCATCCTCCCACACTAGCTCCTCCCATTGTCAAGACACAGCCTGGCAAGAGGCTTCAGGAATCACTTCTATCAGTGCCCCTTCATTGACAGCACTTTGGAGGGCAGCCTGTGTCCTCCATCTCAGTGAAGAGCGCCATGTGTTTGTCGTCATTCAATTCAGTAATCTGGAGACATCCCAGCACTCCTTTCAAATTTCACCTACCACACCACATCCAATCAATAATCAAGGCTAGTGGATTCCAAGTCTTTAACATCTCTCACTTCTATACTCTCCTCCCCTTCACTACAGCCACTAATTCCGTTCAGGCTTTCATTATTCTCACAAGGATTATTGCAATAGTCTCTCAGTGGTTGCCCTGACTCCAGTTTTGCCTGGGTGATCTTTATGAAATGAGATAGTGCACAAGTTACCCCACCTCTCCACCAGCTTGGCTTACACCTCTTCGTGGCTCCTTATTGTCTCAAGAGATATGGCTGAGTCTCTGCAGTATGACCTATAAGAGCATTTGTGATCTAGACATTGTTTCACCTCTCAGCAAGCCTCTTCTTTTTCTTCTGTTTCAGCAATTTGAGCTGCACGGTTCTCAGTAGGTCATGTTGTTTCATCCGTGGGGCCTCAGCTCTCACTGATGCAGCTCCTAGTAATCCAACATGAAATTTCTTTTTTTTTTTTTTTTTACTTTTATTCTAAGTTCAGGGATACATGTGCAGGTTTGTTATGTAGGTACACTTGTGTCATAGCGGTTTGTTGTACAGATTATTTTGTCACCCAGGTACTAAGCCTAGTACCCACTAGTTATTTTTCCTGATCCTCTCCCTCCTTCCACCCTCCACTCTCCGACAGGCCCTGTCTGTTCTTCCCCTCTATGTGTCCATGTGTTCTCATCGTTTAGCTCCTACTTATAAGTGAAAACACACAGTATTTGCTTTTCTCTTCCTACATCAGTTTGCTAAGGATAATGGCCTCTAGCTCAATCCATGTTTCTACAAAGGACATGATCTCATTCTTTTTTATGGCTGCATAGTATTCTATGGTGTATAGATATCACATTTCTTTATCCAGTCTACCATTGATGAGCATTTAGATTGATTCCATGTCTTTGCTATTATGAATAGTGCTGCAATGAACATACACATGCATGTGTCTTTGATAGAACAATTTATATTCCTTTGGGTATGTACCCAGTAATGGGACTGCTGGTTCAAACAGTAGTTCTCGTTTTAGGTCTTTGGGGAATCATCACACTATTTTTCCACAATGGTTGAACTAATTTACAATTCCCCCAACAGTCTGTAACTGTTCCCTTTTTCCCCAACATAAAATTTCTGCCTCCATCACCAGATAAGTTAGGCCTTAAAAAAGGAAGCAGTACTTCAAAACTAAACTGCTCCCTCCCCAGATGCTGGAGTGAGAGAGGCAGCAAAAGAGAGAGACTCCATTAGGACTGTTTACTAAGAAACCCCACCCAACACATTAACTCACTGAAGGGGTTAGTCTAAGGTATTTTCCTTTAATTTTGGTGTGAGAAAGTATTGACCAGACCCTCATGATTTCTTGCCTGGACAGCAAAATGCCTTTGGAACTGACCTACCTTCAGTCCTTTTTCTAATCTACTCTCCACACTACTGTCAATCAACTTCCCAAACCTCAAATAGGTTAACACTACACCCCTGCTTAAACATCTTCAGCAGCTCCCATCTTCTGCCTGGCTCCTGAAAATGTTTTTCATATCTCCCAATGCAGTGTATGGAACACTCCACAACTTCCTGCTGAATGCAATTATGTTAGCAGCTTGTAGATTGGCCCAATTAAATGTTTAGTATTTAAGTAAGAATAGATAGATGTAAAACAACAATGAACATTAGCCTGTCAGAGTCTGTCAATATGGTGACATGTTTGGGGATGAGGTTAAAGCTGAAAGAATTACTCTTTTGCCTCTCCTATAAATTTAAGCAAAAAGTAGCTGGAAAACTATAGGCTTTGAATGACATAGACCCTGGTTCAACTCCTGGCCCTACCACCCATATATGATCATGTACAAATGGCTTGCTCTCTGCAAGTCTTGATTCCTCATCTGTAAGTGGATATCATAATACATACATACCAATAGTTATGAGGACTAAGTGAGGTATTCTCATTTCAAAAGTAACCTAACTCACCTTCTCTAGTAACACAATATGCCCATCCATTCTGATCACCTACCTCAAATTTAAAAGGAATTATGGTTTTTATTTAAAATTATTGTTTTAGTAAAACAAATATACCAAAATGACAACAAAAAAGTGTGCTGAGCCCATGAGTAGAGGTAAGATTTTGAGACTTTAAAGGATAGGCTGTTTTTTTGTTTTTGTTTCCTTCTCTTGAGCAGATGTTGGGTTATAAGAGATTGGCTGAAATGGATACTATAAAGAGATCATGTGATAAAAGGAATGAATTCTCAGCAAAGGAAAATGCTGTTTTTAATTCTTTGAAATCCTTAAGGTCAGCTTCAAACAGGCAGTTGGGATAACCTAGCCAGATTGGCAGTGACTAGGAAGTGACCCAAGCCAAGTAGCAAATTACTTGCTAATAGTCCCAAGTCACCTTTACTGCAGCCCTCAGCAGAGTTCCAGGTTTGTCTGCCTGCCATGGACAGCACGGTGGAGAGTCGGTCCTCAAAGGGACCACCACCTACAAAGCCTGGCTCTAGTTTAGGGCTTGGATGGAAGGTATTTAGATAAACTAATTGCACAGGGATGTGGTTTGCTCTGGAGAAGTCAAGACTGTGTTTAAATGTCTGAAATTCCTGGTGTCGCTAATAATTGTAACCTCTGCTTCAATAAAACACACAAATAATGTTACTGAAGCATTTCCAATCACAAGGTATTATTTTTGGTCTAAAACAGATGCAGCCCTTGGTACTTAAAAGGAGGATGTCTGGATAAATTTACCTCTGATCGAAGAGAAACAAAACTCCTGGAACTTGGGCCAAAGCCCCATTTCTGAGAAGCATCAATTGGAGCAATGGCAGCCTAGCAGCATGACTGTGGTGTCATTCCCAGCACAAGTAAGGGCCACTTTGGGAGACCTATATAAGGTGCTGGAATGGATAAGCCAGGAGCTCTAAGGGAAATAAAGTAGCATTTTTGAATATTTAGTAGTTGTCAGGTGGAGCATTAATATGGATTATTTTATTTAAGCATCATAGCAGCTCCATTTTACAGAGGAGGAAACTAAAGCCTAGAAAGATTAAATAATAAACTCAAAGACACTCAGCCACTAAGTATGGAATTGGGATTTAAATTCAGGGCTGTCTATACATAAAGCCATGCCTTTTGCATTACATCATACAATGTCTCTAAGAAATTATAAAGCACTAACCCCAAACAAAGGGGTATCTGGAGTCAAACTGCCAGGATTCAAATTTCTGCTCCATCATTTGCTATTTTTGTGACCAAAGATGAGGCATTTAACCTCTCTGGCTTTGAGTTTCCTTATAATAAAATGGGAAAGAATGATAGTAACTACCTGATAGTCCTGTTGGGTTGGCTTTTGTGCATGGTGTAAGATAAAAGTCCAATTTTATATTTCTGCATGTGGATATCCAGTTTTCCCAATATCATTTATTGAAGAGACTATCTTTTGTCCATTGTGTATTCTTGCCACCCTTGTTGAAGACCAGTTGGTCATATATTCATGGGTTTATTCCTGGGCTCTCTATTCTGTTTCATTGGTCTGCATGTCTGTGTTTATGCCAATACCATACTGTACTGATTACTGCAGCTTTGTAATATATTTTAAAATCAGGAAATATGATACTTCCATCTTTGTTCTTCGTGTTCAAAATAACTTTGGTTATTCAGAGTCTTTTGTACTTCCATATGAATGTTAACATTGTCTTTTCTATTTCTGTAAAAAATGCCATTGGGATTTTGATAGCGATTTCACTGAATCTATAGACAGATTTGTATAGTATGGGCATTTTAACAATATTAATTATTTCTATATGTGAACACAAGATATCTTTCCATTTTTTTGTGTTTACTTTATTTCTTTCATCAGTGTTTTCTAGTTTTCATTGCACGAGTCTTTCATATTTGTCACTAAGTTTATTTCAAAATATTTTATTCTTTTTGATGGCATTGCAAGTGGAATTGTTTTCTTAATTTTTTTAGGTAGTTCATTGTGAGTGTATAGAACCATGACTGATTTTTGCACATTGATTTTATGTCCTGCAACTTCACTGAATTCTTTAATTAGTTTTACCAGTTTTTTTTGTGGAGTCTTCCAGGTTTCCTACATATAAGTTTATGTCATCTGTAAACACAATTTAACTTCTTTCTTTCTAATTAGGATGACTTTTATTACTTTTTCTTGCCTAATTTCTCTGGCTAGGACTTCCAGGACTATGTTGGATAGGAGTAGTGAGAGTGGGCATCCTTGCTTTGTTCCAGATCTTAAAGGAAAAGCTTTCAAGTTTTCATCATTGAGGATAATATTAGCAGTGGGTTTTTATATGTGGCCTTTATTGTGTTGCATAAGTTCCTTCTACACTTAGTTTGTTAAGAGGTTTTATCATGAAGGGATGTTAAATTTTGTAAGTACTTTTTTCTGCATCTATTGAAATGATTATGTTATTTTTGTCCATTTATTCTGTTACTGTGTTGTATCACATTGATTGATTGGCATATGTTGGACCATCCTTGCATCCTAGGGATAAAGCCCACTTGGTCATGACATATGATCTTTTCAATGTACAGTTGATTTTAGTTTTCAAATACTTTGTTGAGGATTTTTTTCATCCATACTTATCAGGGATATTGGCCTGTAGTTTTCTTTTCTGTGGTAATGGTATCTTTGCCTGGTTTGGGTATAAGGGTGATACAGTACTGGTACTGGCCTCATAAAAAGAAATGTTCCCTCTTCTTCTATTTTTGGGAATAGTTTAAGAAGGATTGGTATTGATTTATCTTTAAATGCTTGGTAGGATTTACCCGTGAAGCCATCTGGTTCTGGGGTTTTCTTTGTTAGAAGGTTTTTGATTACTGATTCAATCTCATTTGTTACTAGTCTGTTTAGGCTTTCTATCCCTTCTTGATTCAGTCTTGATTGGAGGTATACTTTTAAGACTTTATCCATTTCTTCCAAGCTGTACAGTTTGTTGGTATATAATTGTCCATAATAGTTAACTTATGATCTTTTTTATTTTTGTGACATCAGATGTATTATCTCCTCTTTCATTTCT
This sequence comes from Homo sapiens, assembly GCF_000001405.40. NCBI lineage: Eukaryota > Metazoa > Chordata > Mammalia > Primates > Hominidae > Homo > Homo sapiens. The sequence goes on from NC_000002.12 coordinate 199,213,506, forward strand.
GATTTTCTTTATTTAAGACTTCTCTCTTATTTTCTTGGTCTAGTTAAGGCTAGGACAAGTTATTTCTTATGTCTAGTTAAGGCTTGTCAATTTTATTTATCTTTTCAATTTTTGTCTATGACACCTGGCAATTAAAGCAAAACTAGACAAGCAGAATTATAACAAACTAAAATGTTTCTGTACCGCAAAGGAAACAGTCAACAGAATGAAAAACAACCCACAGAATGTGAAAAAGTATTTCTAACTCTTAAGGGGTTAATATCCAAAATATATAAGAAACCCTCACAAAACAATTGCAAAAAAAAAACAAAAAACAAAAAGCAACCCAATTTAAAAATGGGCAAAGGAATTGAGTGCCATTTCTTCAAAGAAGACATACAAATGGGCAACAGTTATGTAAACAGCTGCTCAATATCACTAATCATCAGGGAAATGTAAACCAAAATCACAGTGAGACATCATCTCATTCCTGTTAGGATGGCTATTATCAAACAGAAAAACAAAAGATAACAAATGTTGGTGAGGATGTGAACAAAAGGAACCCTTGTAAACTGTTGGTAGGAATGTGGATTGGTGCAGTCACTGTGGAAAACATTATGGAGGTTCTTCAAAAAATTAAGAATAGAACTACCATATGTTCCAGCAATCCCACGTCTAGGTATATATCCAAAGGAATTGAAATCAGGATCTCAAAGAGATATCTGCACGCCCACATTCATTATAGCATTATTGAGCATTAGGCAAGCAAAATCCTACCATTTGCAACAACATAGAAGAATCCAAAGGACATTATGCTAAGCGAAATAAGTCAGACACAGAAGGACAAATATTACATGATACCACTTATATGATGAATCTAAAATAGTTAAACTCATAGAAGCAGAGAGTGGAATGGTGGTTGTCAGGAGCTGAAGGGAGGGAGAAATGGAATGATATTAGTGAAAGGGTACAAAGATTCAGTTATGTAAGATGAGTAAGTCCTAGAGATTTACTATACAGCATAGTATTATAGTTAACAATACTGTACTGGATACTTAAAAATTTGCTAAGAGGGTAGATCTTATGTTAAATGTTTTTATCACAAAATAATAAATAAAGAGGGCAGAATAAAACTTTTGGAAGTGATAGACATACATTGTAGTGATTTCACAGGTGTAAACTTATCTCAAAATTTATCAAGTCATATACATTAAATATGTACAGCTTTCTGTATGTCAAACATATGCAATGAAGTTGCTTAACTAAAAATAGTGCTGTTGGGCAAATTAAAAGAAGGAATACAGATAAAAGGGTTAGTGTTGTACCTTTAGCCTTGCACCCAATCCAGATGTTCAGACATCAAGACTCAGGCAAGCAAACTGACTTCTCTCTTCAGCCCAGGCAGCTATGGAGGAACCCTGGTTAGCCCAGAGACACTCTCTGGAGCCCAACAGAAGACCCATCCCGCTCTAAATACCCAGCAGACGACTGTGGCTAATGTCCAAAGGCTTCATACAGCACAGAGCAAGTTGTCTTCCAAATTTCACATTGAGTTGCCCACGTACGCATGTCCTCAACTACAAACTCAGGGGCTACAAACTCTTAGCCCAGTCATAGTAATTCACATTTCTTTAGTATCCCACATTGTGCTAGAGTACACCAATAAAGATTTGCTGGGCACATGTGGAAAATATTACTTACTATGTGCATTCAGGCAAAGGTGGTTAGTATCCAAATAAATCAGATTGATGCTTTATCTAACAACCATTAAAGCTAGGCCTGAATTCAACATTTTCTGGCTGCTGACAAGGCTTAATATTTTAAAAATCACCCCAACTGGAAAGAACTAAGTCTTTAGGTATGGTAGTGCTTTCTCCTTAGCCAAAAATATATGTACACCAGTGGTACAGCAGTTAATATCTTGCATGGGATAAATTAAACAAAGATAAAGTACACACCAATTCTATGGAATTATGAAAAATTAGGCAGTGGGGTAACAGAAATTCTTCCATTTTGAAGTTAATCATTAACATTTCTCTAGGAAACAAACAACGAGACTATTGTCTTATTTCCAAAGGTTCCCCGGGGGTGAGCAAAAAAGCTAATTTCATTAGATGTAATACATAACCAAGGGTGGTCATACAATCATTGCCTGCATATGTGCCTGACCATAAAAAAATACCTCAAGGAATAGGAAGTTTCAAAATATATGCAAAAATAAGATACATGAGAACATTTTCACACAGTGTTTAAGTACGTAAATGCTTCAATAAGATGCACAAATAATGTATTCGTTGTTTAAATATACCCAATTGGCCATTATTCAATGCACATAAGGTATCAGGAAAGCAAAAACTGACTTCCTCTTCAATTCTCTTTCTAGATGCTTATAACAGAGGTTGAGAAATTGTGCAAGCAATACATCAAACTAAGTAACCAAGTACAGCATCAAGGAGGGAAAAGTCAGAATATTCAGTTTTTCAGTAACCAAGAATTTAAAAAGAGATCTTTTATTTTTATACTCAAATGGTCAATAAAGTTATAAGTAACAAGGTTTTCATCACTAAAGTTAATTAAATTCTATTAAATATACCAACTGTCAGTGTGGGGCTCCGTTATATAAACAAAAAAGCACTTAGCACAGTACCTGCCACTTGTAACAACTTGTGACAATAATTAACTATTGTTCCTTTTCTGAAATTGATCCTAACAATGGAGTATGTCACATATTTTTCTGTCCTTTCCGGAAGTAATCAGATTAAAATGAATTCATTAGTGTGAGCCCTAATCCAATATGACTGGGGTCCACACACAGAGGAACGACAACATATAGAGAGACAAGGAGAACCCATGTGAAGACGGCAGATGGAAGGGATGCACCTACAAGCCAAGGAAGGCCAGAGACTGCCGGCAAACTACCAGAAGCTAGAAAAGGAAAGTGAGAATTCCCCTATTGGTTTCAGAGGAAGTATGGCCCTGCTGAGGCCTTGATTTCAGACTTTCAACCTCCATAGTTGAGTAGATTCTCAACCAATGGCAGGATTTCCTGTTGTTTTTTTGTTGGGTTGTTGATTCCTGTTTAAAGAATCTGCCATAAAGTTGTACTGACAATTGATGTAATATTTCTGAATGGCAAAGTTTAATAGACCCAGATTTGGCTTGAGGTCTTAAATCGCCAGAATACTCAACTAAGATGCTAGGTCCAATCCTGGGCATCTCTCGCTATATATTTTTTTATATAGATATATAAATATATATATGTATATATATTTATATATATGTGTGTATATGTATATGTATTTATATATATGTGTGTGTATATATATATATATATATATATATAGAGAGAGAGAGAGAGAGAGAGTCTTGCTTTGTCTCCCAGGCCAGAGTGCAGTGGCACAATCTCAGCTCACTGCAACCTCCACCTGCAAGGTTCAAGCAATTTTCATGCCTCAGCCTCCCGAGTAGCTAGGATTACAGGCATGTGCCACCACACCAAGATAATTGTTGTATTTTTAGTAGAGACAGGGTTTTGCCATGTTGGACAGGCTGGTCTTGAACTCCTGGCCTCAAGTGATCCACCTGCCTCAGCTTCCCAAAATGCTGGGAGAACAGGCGTGAGCCGCCATGCCTGACTTGTATTTTTGTACAATTCAAAATAAAGTTCCAAAAGGAAGGGAAGGAAAGGAGACAATAATCTGTTGTTATATGTTGATTTTAGTTACAGGGTTATACATTATCATGAAGGAGGTCTTTGATCTTTCCATGATTATGAAACAATATAATTTTCTAAGGTGACAATGGTTCTTATTTTTTAAAAATAGCACATGCAAAATGTACTCAAAGTATTCAAAGTCATACATCTACATTACAGCCTGTGTCAAATTAATTAATATGTTTTTTTTTCCCTTGAAGTTCTGGCTGGAAAGAGTCCCTGAATGTGATAATAATAATGATGCTGATAGCAATGATAATAACTAATGTATAACATATGCCTCCTACTGTAGCAAATCTTTTATAGGTTTCTTTTCATTTAGGCCCCATAATGGTCTTTTGAAATAGGTACTATTATTTTTGCAGATGACGAAACAAAATCAGAAGATACAAGTAACTTGCTGCTATAGTTTGGATGTGTGTCTCCACCCAAATTTCGTGTTGAAATGAGATCCCCAGTATTGGAGGCCGGGCCTTGTAATAGGTGACTGGATCATAAGGGTGGATTTCTCTTGAATGGTTTAGTACCATCCCATTGGTGCTGTTTTTGCATTAGTAAGTTCTTGGGAGATCTGGTAGTTTATAAGTGAGTGGCACCTCCCCCTTCTCTCTCTTGTTCCTGCACTGGCCATGTGATGTGCCTGTTCCCCCTTCACCTTCTGCCATGAGTGTAAGTTTCCTGAGGCCTCTCCAGAAGCCCAGCAGATGCCAGCATCAAGATTGCTGAACAGCCTGCAGGAACATAAGCCAATTAAACCTCTTTTCTTTATAAATTGCCCAGTCTCAATTATTTCTTTATAGCCATGAGAGAATGGACTAACACACTTGCCCTAGATAAGAGGATGAGTAAATGGCAGGAGCGGAGCTTGAGCCCCAGTTTGTGACTCCAGAGCCCCATATTCAAGCAGTGCACATGTCCCCCTCTGCTCAATGTTTCCACCTCTGGTGTAATTTAGGTAAGGCTAAATGCTGTAACAAAGATACTTGGATGCTCCTGTTTAGATTGATTGCTCACTCTCAACCAGTCAACCTTAAGCTTCTTGTGATCAGTCAGCCCACACACATAGAAATATCAAAAGAAATTGCAACCGTCTTCTCGTGGCATTTTATATTATTTCCATTGATTTGAAGTACTTCATTTTAAAACTTAGTGAGCCAGTCAGGGGTTATTTTTAACATCATTTGATAATTTATATATACGTAAAAGCACCGTGAGAGTTGAACTTGACTTCAGGCCAGCTCTCACTATTAATCAAACTACCATTTTCCCATGTGATAAAGGGCCCAAAATGAAATTTACAACAAATGTGCAGTTTCACAACGAACATCTTACATTTACAGGTAATTTGGCGATTTAAGACATCAGGCCAAATCTGGGTCTATTAAACTTTGCCATGCACAAACATTACATCAACTGTCAGTACAACTTTATGGCAGATTCTTTAAACAGGAATCAACAACCCAACAAAAAACAACAGGAAATACTGCCGTTGGTTGAGAACCTACTCAACTAAGATGCTAGGTCCAATCCTGGGCATTCTGGGTACAAAACTAATCATAAACTCGTCATTTTATGGAGAATCTGATGGTTTGACGATGTCAGAACTTGCTGGTGGCCTCACAATCAGTACAGTAAAGGGAAGGGCTAGATTTCAATAGTGGACAGCCCAACTCTTAACTGTTTCACCACCCTGATTCTCTAGCCACATTGTCAGAGTGTTGACCAGGAAGACAGACAAAAGATTAGTCTAGGGACTCGGGCACCGTGTGGAGTCTTGCCTTGGGCAAGTCATTTACATTACTTTCTCTGCCTGAAGATATTTTATTTGAAAACAAAATGAAGAGAAACTTATTTTCAAGCATGCTTGTAATTTGGACTAAATAATCCCGCTTCTGGAGAATCTGTGGATTTTAAATCAAGATAATTCAGAAAGACCAGAAAAATCTCTCAATTCTTCTCATTTGCCTTCTTCTCCAAGCACAAAATAGAAATATGACTTTGAGGGAACCAATGGTGCCAATCTCTTAGAAAGGAGTATGAAAAATAATACTTTTATTGGTCAAAAGGACTCCAATGTGGTCCTTAGTGCTCAAAAGAACTCCAATGTGATCCTTAGTGCTGTAATCACACAGTAAGTGCTCACTACTTATTTAGTGGGTACCACTGACCTCAGTCAGACTTGGTTATTCTCCTACAACCCTGCCACCCTGGAAAAGGCCCTAAAAAAAAAGTCTGTGTGCCTCAGTTTACCCATTGGCAATATTATGACAACAATATATTCTTGTCATCAATATCAAGTACTACACAAATTTGAGGCTTTATACTATGACCACATCCTTTTCCTTTTATTATCAATAATAACATACTCCCTGGTAGTCTACCACAAAATACTAGGAAAGTTACTATTTACTCAAATACTCCTCTCATTCACTTCTATTCACACCTCTATTAGAAGAACTCAGCAATTTTTTTGTTATTTGTTTTTCTGGACATTGACCGTGAACTTGTCAGCAGCCAGCACAGAGCACTCACATGATGTACTTCTGCTCCCCACTTCGCTTGTTTACCTGGTGACAAATCACACCTGCAGTGGATTCATGGTATTTCCCAACACTAGCATTCTTAGCTTGCAGAATGATATTACAGGGTTGAATTCTAAGTCCCCATCTCCACAAGCCTTACAATTTCTTCCACTTAGTGTGACCAACATATGTTCTTCCAAGAAGAACAACCAACTGGCCCACATTCTGCTTTATATTTATTAAGTATATTTGTCTGTTTTTAATCAGTAGTGTCAAATCTCTCCTGATCCTTCTTTACTCCTCACCCCCTCAGATGGAAAGGTATGAAAACCCACATCAATTACTTCCACTCACTCATCTTTCTCTGACACAGAAAAATTATTTTGGATTTGGCAAATGACTGCTTAGTGTGAGGCTTATCATTAGCTAGTTATTTAGAGCACTAGTTCTTAAACTTGGCTGCCAATTGGCATCTCTTGAGGAGCTTTAAAAATTCTGATGCCCAAATTCCACCTTAAGAAATTCTGATATAATTGGTCTATAGTGTGGCCTGGGCATTGGGATTTTTTAAACCCCCCATGGGATTCTAAAGTACAGTCAAATTTGAAAGCCACTGATTTAGAATTTGGGACAGCTAGGTTTAAGTAGATTTAGCAAGTCAGGAGATAAAACAATAATAGTAGGGATAAAGATACCTTGACTTCTCTTTGGTAGAGCCCATGTTTGTCCTTGGAAATTCCTGATATACTCCAGTTCATACTGCTACAAGGCTCAGGGTTTTATACTCCCTCTGCAATTTGCCTAATACCCTCCTTTTTTTGGTGGTGGTGATGGGGGGTGGGGGGCAGTTTTATTCCTTGGGTTTCTTTGACTTTTATTTAGAGTGGAAATGTTTTTTAAATATTGAAATCCATTCTCATCTTTTGGTTTTGCGATGCCATGACTTTTAATAAGGAAGATCAACTTTCAAACAAAGTTGAAACAAACAAACCCTTCTTTTTGAAGCTGCTTAGTAAAAACTCTAAATACCAATCCCAGCAATGAAAACAGAGTATAACCTGAATGAATGGGAATCATTTCTCCCTGAGTAGTTGACTAAGTTGCTGAGCATCAAAATGACAAGCCAAGGAAACACCAGGTGAAGAAAGAATCCTGGTTAGTAACAGTTCACATCAGTGTGGCTGAAAAGGCAGTGTGGTCCTGAATATTTGGCCTTAAATTGGAATTTCCTTGTTTTGGCGAGTTTAAGTCCTTAGCATTAATGTCATGCAGTTATTTTTGTATGGTTTATTTTCTTTTCCTTTTTGCCATTCAATATTCAAAACAATGTGAAATGTACATTCTTCTTCACATGGAGAATGAATTCAGCAACAACTCAAGCACGTAATTCTTCTCTGCATGGAAGAAGTTGCCGGACATCTGCTCATCCCAGACCTACAGAACAACACAGCACATTCACATGGAGTTACTAAGGGAGGGGGTCTCCTGTGAGGTTTCTCAAACAAAGACTTCAGCAGAGATACAGGCACACAAGCTTTATTAGAGGTAAAGAACCTAGTAAATACATTTTTAAAAAATCTGTTTATTATTTGTCTGCCTGTCCCCTTGAAGATGAAGCCTCCGTGAAACCAGTGTGTTGTAATCTAACCGTAGCTTCTGAGCCAAAACAATGCATGGCATATAGAAGACAATCAATAAATATTTGTTAAATGAATAAAGGATTCCTATATCATATATCCAATCACAAAGATGAAGGAAAGTACAATATATCTCTTTCTCACTCAGCAGCAAAGAAATGGGAGTAAAAATGAGTATTTTTCTCCAAACTCCATACACAACTCTTCACACGTAGACAGGGACACATTTGTTCTTCTTCTTTTTTTTTTTTTTTCTAGAAACAAGGTCTTAGCTCTGTCACCCAGGCTGGAGTGCAGTGGCACGATCATAGCTCACTGCAGCCTTGACCTCCCAGGCTCAAGCAATCCTCCAGTCTCAGCCCGCTGCGTAGCTGGGACTACAGGTACACACCACCACGGCCAGCTAATTTAAAAAAAAAAAATTTGTAGAGTGGAGGTCTATGGTATGTTTCCCAGGCTGGTCTCAAGCTTCTGGCCTCAAGCAATCCTCCCTCCTCAGCCTCCCATTGTGCTAGGATTACAAGTGTGAGCCACTGTGCTGGGCCAAACACATCTGATTCTTTGAATATTTCTCCTAGTATCTTCCCCACCGCAGGCAAGCTCAACTTCTTTAATGTAACATCCAGAATCTCTTGGGGCAGACAGAGTTCCATAAATTGCCCCTGTTTGTTCCCTAACACTCCTAAGCCCAGCCTGACTCCAGCTCTGGCCCTCCCATCAGTAGTCCAGGAGAGGGGTTCTCAAACATTAGCAAATATTAGAATCACTTGGAGGGCTTGTTAAACCAGATTGCAGGACCTTACATTCACATCACATTAAAATACAGCTGTTTAGTAAAAGATCTTCTGCCTAGTTTCTTTACACCATGAGTGTGCACCTAAAAAGAAAACTAGTTTCCTTTCTTTTTTTAGCTTTTATTTTAAGTTCAGGGGTAAATGTGCAGGATGTGCAGATTTGTTATATAGGTAAATGTGTGCCATGGAAGTTTGTTGTACAGATTATTTCATCACCCAGGTGTTAAGCCTAGTATCCACTAATTATTTTTCCTGATCCTTTCCCTCCTCCCACCCTTCATCCTCCCATAGGCCCCAGTGTGTGTTGTTACCCTATACGTGTCCATGTGTTCTCATAATTTAGCTCCCACTTATAAATGAGAACATATGGTATTGGTTTTCTGTTCCTGTGTTAGTTTGCTAAGGATAATGGCCTCCAATTCCATCCAAGTCCCTGCAAAGGACATGATCTCATTCTTTTTTATGGCTAAATAGTATTTCATGGTATATATGCATCATATTTTCTTTATCCAGTCTATCATTGATGGGCATTTAGGTTGATTCCATGTCTTTGCTATTATAAATAGTGCTGCAGTGAACATACACATGCATGTGTTTTATAATAGAACAATTTATATTCCTTTGGGTATAAACCCAATAATGGGATTTATGAGTCAAATGGTATTTCTGACTAGGTCTTTGAGGAATCACCACATTGTCTTCCACAATGAGTGAACTAATTCACACTCCCACCAACAGAGTATAAGCATTCCTTTTTCTCCACAACCTCTCTAGCATCTGTTATTTTTTGACTTTTTAATAATAGTCATTCTGACTGGTGTAAGACAGTATCTTCTCATAGTTTTGATTTGCATTTCTCTATGATCAGTGATGTTGAGTTTTTCTTCATATGGTTGTTGGCCACATGTATGTCTTCTCTTGAGAATTGTCCGTTCATGTCCTTTGCCCATTTAATGTCCTTTGTCTGTTCATGCCCTTTGCCCTTTTAGTGGTTTGTTTTACTCTTGTAAATTTGTTTAAGTTTTTTATGGATGCTGGATATTAGACATTTGTCAAATGCATAGTTTGCAAAAATTTTCTCCCAATCTGTAGGTTATCTGTTTACCTGTTGATATTTTTTTGGCTGTGCAGAAGCTCTTTAGTTTAATTAAACCCCATTTCTCAAATTTTGCTTTTGTTGCAATTGCTTTTGGTGTCTTCATCATGAAACCTTTGCTCGTGCTTATGTCCTGAATGGTATTGCCTAGGTTGTCTTCCGGGGTTTTTATAGTTTGGTGTTTTACATTTCAGTCTTTAATTCATCTTAATTTAATTTTTGTATATGGTATAAGTTGGGACGGGTCCAGTTTCAGTTTTCTGCATATGGCTAGCCAGTTATACCAGCACCATTTATTGAATAGGGAATCCTTTCCCTATTGCTTGTTTTTGTCAGGTTTGTCAAAGATCAGATAGTTATTGATGTGCAGTCTTATTTCTGGGTTCTCTATTCTGTTCCGTAGGTCTATGTGTCTTTTCTTGTACCAGTACCATGCTGTTTTGGTTACTATAGCCCTGTAGTATAGTTTGAAGTCAGGTAGCGTGATGCCTCCAGTTTTGTTCTTTTTGCTTAGGATTGCCTTGGCTATTTGGGCTCTGTCAGGTTCTAGCCTAAGCTGAGGTCCAAGGGGAGTAGGTGTGCAAGTGGCAGGCAACCGAAAGAACGCTTGGGGAATTGTAGGCAGTTGCAACATGGCTTTATTATCTTTCTGGGCTCAAGCCATAAGTACAGTGTCAGCAGGATCATCATATCTTTTACACACAATAGTGGCTCTGAGCCAAGTACGAGCTCTCGTGAGTGGTTACATAATATGTGGAGTTGTGCGCCTGTGCTCCAAACCCATTGAGTCATGCTGAGTCAGAAGGCTACCTTGGCTTACTCCTGAATAAAGTGCAGCCATCTCCCTTACACTCCACCCCCTAGGCTAAGGGCATCTCCCAGGTAGAGACACGTGCCCATAGGGCAAAGCCCTGAACCCATAACCCATAACAACTATACAGAGAGCAACAGCTCACTACTAGGATCCCAGCTATGCTACTTATGACTATTAGGGCCCAGTGTAGGTCAGAGCCCAGGGATGCCCTCCATCTCTTCAGGGGGTCATCAGTAAGGCTCTCGGCCACCTTAATTTCCCATGAGACCTACTGCAGGGCTGCTGTTATGTTCTGCAAAGTGTCAAGGATAAAGGTACAATATTGTGTTCCTAAAAGGGCACAGGTGCCTTTTTGGGTAGCAGTTACTATGTCTAAGGCCATTTGGTTTTGCAATGCTACCTTTCTGGTCTGATCAACTTCACCAGTTAACAAGAGGAGGGCCACTCAGGTATAATTCAGAGCCCGAGTGGTGTGCTCTGCAAGAGTAACTTGTGCTTCTACAGTTATGACACCTGCTCCAGAGACAGTCATTGTCAAGGGGTAGAATCACCACGGGGCTCGTTGCACTTGCAAAAACTAAGAGCATAGCACCTCCCAGTCATGCAGGCATCTGGGCAATGCAGGGAGAACAGTGGCAGGTACATAAGGCCACCCTCATGTACAATGTCCAGTTCCCTAGTAGGTAAGGCAACTCTGTGTCCCCACAGACCCATAAACTCCCAGGGGCCACAAAGTCCACTGAAGCCCAACCTTGGTAGGGCTGCATGTTCCACCACACCTTTGGTGTAGTGACACATGTTATGTTAGCACAGGCTGTGACAGGTACCCATCCCACAGTAGTGTTACCCCAGTGTTGCTCTATGCACCGTGGCACCTGGGCCAAGGGTACTACATTTTCCCCCACTAGCCAGCCCCACCCATCATAAATGTCATGGGCCAGCCAGGGGGTGGGCACACCATGGGTCTTGCAGCATCCTTTGTCTAAAGCTTGCCACATTGTGTTCCAGGCATTGGCCATGGGACCCCAAGTCTCCAACCATGTACAGTTCTCTGGAGATGTGGGGTGTATGTGCCAGGGCAAGCCATCTGCAGCTGCTGCTGGAAGAATTGTGCAGATCCAGCAACTGGAAACATTGGTCACCTCAGCATAGGTGTGGGCCTGGTCCACAGTGCAGTTGGAGCATGTTAACTTATGGTCAAAAGGACAAAACGGGCATAGGTACTAACAGGGACAAATCACGTACCTCAGGCAAAGTATAAGCTAACTTTTCATCCCTAGATAACAATGCAGCCACCAAGGGCTTCTGCTGTGGGTGATGGTACCACACTTTCTCAGCTCCCCATGGTTCCACTGGGTCCCATATTTGTGCAGAGTCATGGGGGAACACATAATAGACCAAACAGACATTATATATGTCCCCCGGAGAAGGGTACCCTCCCTGACTGTTCCCCTACAAACAGTCAACCATGGGGGCCATGTATTGAATACCCAAGGAGTGACATGCAAGTCATACTGTAGGCCCCCCGCACCGGAGCTACAGTGGCCAACCACCAGCAATGTGGTGGTTGGACAGCCCATGGCCACAGCCAGGTTTTCTGTTCCCCTGCCTTTAAGGGGCATTGGGGCAGGCAACAACAGGTTACCATTCATCCCCACACCTGGTTGGAGTAGGTCATCCTTAGTGTGTATCTGCAACTGAATGGGGGTGGTGGCCTGGTGTAACAAAGCCTCCACCAGGGCCTGGCCACCTTTCTGTGACCGTTCATTCAAGGTTTGGAGCATCAGGTCCAGACTTGAACTCTAGCCTTGCAAAGATGGGGGTGTGACATGCAAGTGTAACCCGTTCTTCAAGAGCCCAATCATACGCGCAGCTTGCAGGTTGTATGGCAAATAGAATTCCCACTTTATGTCCATTTGTTATGCCCATTGTTGTACCTGTTATACAGTGAAATGTCTCAACACTATCACTCTCAACAGCCAGAGGGCAACCATACAGGGCACATAAGTGTTGCAGGGCCCAGATGGTGTGCTGTTGATCAGCCATCCTCCAAGGGTAGGTGAAGAACAGTCCTGTGGCCATGTCCACAGCTGTTAGTGCATGCGTATACCCTTGCAACTTCAGCAGCAACCCAATGTAGTCTACTTGCCACCTTGTCAAGGACACTGACCCTATTGTCACTTGTTGTGTAACACTGGGCAGCTGCCTCCATTTAAGGTATGCGTGAGTACACGCCAGGCACTTCTGACAAGCCTCCCAAATATCTTGTGTGGGCAGGGACAAACCCCAACGCTTATTGACCTGTTGCATCAGTTTACCCACTGCATGTCCCAGTTTCCAATGTAGCCACAAGACCGCATCTCGTGTAGGTACCAACTCTAACCATTGGACCTTGGCTAAGCCCTCAGCCTCATCATTACCAGGGGTGGCCAAAGACATATGGCCTGACACATGATAAATAGTCACATCCTTCTAATGACCTATTTCCCAGAGGTATTTCCACACGGCTTGTCATATGTCAATTGACCCATTTCCAAATGGGTCAGTGGCCAACAAGCCAATTCTGTATTTTCCAAGCGGTTAATTACAAGATTAAGCCTCAATAGATGACCCAGCTATCCACACAGATTACCACAGGAGTCTCCTCTTTGGTGATTACCATCCATGCTGCTCTAAACTCAGCCCATTGGCTACTCTGCCCACACCTGGTTTCAAACCATATAGTGTCAATACTAGGCTGGACTACAACAGTGGTCCAGGCAGCAGTAGCACCTCAGCTAGACCCATCTGTGTACCATGCTCTGTCGGAAATGGGGGGGCACCCTTCTTTGAATGGTGATGGCTCAGGGTCCAAGTGTACCTCAGGCTGACCCATGGCCTTCTCTTGCATTAGGACTATAGGTCCCAAGACCTCTTGCAGCTCTACCGCTAAGGGATTTGTACTCAGAGTACTCTGTTGCTCTAAGTAGACACCCACTTTGCTAAAGTGGATGTCTGCGCCATCCTAGTCCAGGGGGTCATTACCCATGAACGCACCCATCCCACTATGGGGTAAGTCGTACGCATGATGACTGAAGCCTGTCCTGTCACATTCTCACAAGCTTGAAGAGCTGCATATACAGCTGCTAGCTGTTTCTCTATTAAGGAATACCAGAGCTCAGCTGCTTTGCATAGTGGAGACCAAAAGCCTACTGACATTCTCAAGTGCCCCGTGCACTGCCATAAGCCCCAGCAGAAACCATCTGTGGCCACATGCACATCCAGCTCAAACAGATGCCCCTGGTCAACTACCCGTAGGGTTTGTGCCAGCTGAATAGCCCACTTGGCTGTCAGAAAGGTGGTCTCAGTTGCATCATCCCAATCCCAGGTAGTTCCCTTCTTTGTTAATCGATACAACGGTTTTGTCATTTGAGCTAAATGGGGGACAAATGCCCGCCAATATCCCAGAAGGCCCACAGACATTTGTAACTTGTTCACTGTGGTGGGATGAGGATACGCCTGAATTTTAACAATGATAGCCTCTGCGATGGCTTTTGTCTTACCTGACCAGATAGCTCCCAAGAATTTGGCAGATAATCTAGGCCCTTGGACCTTGGACCTTGGATTTCTTGGACCTTGGATTTGTTGACAGCCCAACTACATGCTGCCAAATGTTGCTGCAAGAGGGGTGCCACTGCTTCTAAATCTGCAAGAGAATCAGAGGTTAACATAATATCATCAGTATAATGGAATAGGTGGACCACTTATGGACATTGCCAGATGGCTAAATCCATGGCAACAAGACCATGACGTATGGTGGGGCTATGCACATAGCCCTGCAGCAACACTGTAAAAGTCCATCGTCACCCTTTCCATGTGAAGGCGGACTGGAGTGATGTCAATGTCGATGAAGAAAAATGCATTGGCTAAGTCCACTATATAGTGGTACTGTCCCAGTTCCATCATCAAATGGTCTGTCAAATCCATGATTGATGCAAAGGATGTGTTACTTAATTCCATTCCCGATAGTTCACCGTCATCCGCCAAGTTCCATCAGCCTTTCTAACTGGCCACACTGGAGAACTGTAGGGGCTGTGGATACCACGCACTATCTGCAGCTCCTCCAGCTTTTTGATCGTCTCAGCTATCTCTGTATGCCCACCTGGCAAATGGTATTAATGGGTGGAAGTAACCTGTTGGGGTTGTGGCAGGACATGAGGCTAGTGATGCATATGTCCGCATAGCACCAGCTTCACCACACGCACTCAGAGTCTGAATTCTCTAGCCATGGTTTGTAATACCAGGCCATGTAAAATGTCCACCCACATAATGCATTCAGGTATGGGGGAGACATACATAGTGTATAAGTGAGAAGCCAAGCGGCCAGTGCTGAGGTACAGAGATACAGGTTTCACTTTCACTGACCAGCCTCCATAACCATCAATGTATGTAGCCTTGCCCAGAAACTTATCCAAGTTCCTATAAACAAGGCTACAATCTGCATCAGTATCTACCAGCAGCAACATCTGCTGTACATTGGTGGGGGACCAGAGGATTGCCAACTCCACATGTGGCCTCTGGTCATCTCATGTCCCCGCAAGCAGAGCACATCAGCCAGTTCTCTAATCAAACAGAAAAGGCTCTACATTTCTGTCTGGCTGTAGCAAGTAGTCTATGAGCTGGAGCGCCCAGGCAAGACTGGGTCACACAGCAATGTCCTTCTCCTCCTTGGGCATTTTCTGGAATTGCTGCTCTGGAGACAATTGCCTCCACAAAGTTAATAGTACTTCCGTGGGCTGCTTATCAATTTTCTCTCAGTCAACCCCAGCCAAGATTAAATCTTGGCTCACATCTGTGAGCGTGCCACTCATTGGGGTCCCCTTTTCTTCCATGGGGGAGCCCCCTGCAGGCAGGGCATCTTCCCCTTCTTTAAGGTGTGGACCCCTCAGTCCTGCTGACGGCCCTCTGCTTTCCCAAGAGCTACCATACCAGTGGTCATTTCATGTATGTGGTGCCCTGTGTACAGGGTGAGGACAGCAGCTAGGGAGCCAAAGGCACTCAGAGGTACAGAACCCAACATGAGATCCCTCATTTGGGGCGTGAAACATTCATCATCTGGCCCTTGGGTATTCAGGTCAAACAGCCTGCCGCATACCCATCACCCAGATGACTTGCACCAAATCGACATACGACTGCCATTTACTCACAATTTTGGGTATTTCCCTGGCATTGTTCCACACAGTCCATATGGCTGCTCATAGCAGCCTGAATCAGGATGTGGTCACCTTGCCCTGCTGCTAACTGCCTGCTCACTTGCAACCGCTGACTGAGGGAGGAATGAGTCATGATAGAGGCCAGCTTTTCCATCTCAGAGGCAGAACAGGAGATACTATCTACTCCCTCGTCCCACAGACAAAGCATCCAGGCGGGCAGGGGTTCCCCTAGACGCTGGCGGCACTGCTTGCCTAATTTCCGCAACTCAGTTGGGGTATAGGCAATATATGAAGTGTGTTTTGTTACGATGGGGGGTCCTTGAGCCCGCCCTTGGGATCCCACAGGCTGTTCATGGTCTACTTTCTGACAAACCACTGGGTGAGCCTGCAACAGGGGTTCTTCCTCCTCAGTATCAGATTGAGTGCGGACCTCCAGCCAAGACGGCGGACCCAGGCTTGCATTCATGTCAGACTCTAATTTTTTCTCCAAGCTCTGTAGCGGGGACTCCATGCACCCCGCCTGTGCCTGGAGGTCCCTTACCTGAGCTTTATCCCTCAGGGACTGGGTATGCACTTCTCGTAACACAGTGAAAAATGCCCATCCAACTCTGCTGGCAAAGGTTCGCTCCTTCTCAGTGCTCTGTGCTTCCAGCTGCTTCAGCGCATTTTCCACACTCATGGGTGACCCATCGACCACCACCCAGGTTTCCGCTAGGGCCCATCCTTGCAGCATGGCTACCACCAGGTACCACAACCCATGTTGTGGCCACATGGTCGACCCAGAATCAGTGGTGCCAAGGCTCACTCACCTCGGGATCCTGCCAACTATGCCAAGTGTCAGGTTCTAGCCCAAGCTGAGGTCCAAGGAGAGTGGGTGTGTGAGTGGCAGGTAGCTGAAAGACCGCTTGAGGAATCGTAGGCAGTTGCAACATGGCTTTATTCTCTTTCTGGGTGCAAGCTGTAGGTACAGCATCAGCAGGATAGTTACACCTTTTACAGACAATAGTGGCTCTGATCCAAGCACAAGCTCTCATGAGTGGTTACATGTGCCTTATGTGGTGTGGTTACATAATGTGCACAATTGTGTGCCTGTGCTCCAAACCCACTGAGTCATGCTGTGCCAGAAGGCCACCTAGGCCTACTCCTGACTAAGGCACAGCCATCTCCTTTGGTTTCATACGAATTTTAAAATAGTTTTTTCCAGTTCTGTGCAGAATGTCAATGGTAGTTTAATGGTAATAGCATTGAATCTATAAATTGTTTTGGGCAGTATGGCCATTTTAATGATATTGATTCTTCCTATCCATGAGCATAGGATGTTTTTC
Source organism: Homo sapiens (assembly GCF_000001405.40). Taxonomy (NCBI): domain Eukaryota; kingdom Metazoa; phylum Chordata; class Mammalia; order Primates; family Hominidae; genus Homo; species Homo sapiens. The sequence continues at coordinate 199,230,580 of NC_000002.12, forward strand.
CATTTGTTTGTGTCATCACCAGTATCTTTGAGCAGTGCTTTGTAGTTCTCCTTGTAAAGGTCTTTCACTTCCCTTGTTAGCTGTTATTTCTAGGTATTTTATTCTTTTTGTGGCAATTGTGAATGGGAGTTTGTTCCTGATTTGGCTTTTGGCTTGCCTGTTGTTGATGTATAGGAATGTAGTGATTTTTGAACACTGATTTTGTATCCCAAAACTTTGCTAAAGTTGTTTATCAGCTTAAGAAGCTTTTGGGCCAGGCACAGTGGCTCATACGTGTAATATGAGCAATTTAGGAGGCCAAGATGGGTGGATCACTTGAGACCAGGAATTTAAGATCAGCCTGGCCAACATGGCAAAACACTGTCTCTACTAAAAATACAAAAAAAAAAAAAAATTAGCCGGGCATGGTGGCATACGCCTGTAATTCCAGCTACTCCGGAGGCTGAGGCATGAGCATCATTTGAACTTGGGAGGTAAGGGTTGAAGTTAGCTGAGATCACGTCACTGCACTGCAGCCTGGGTGACAGAGCAAGACTCTGCCTCAAAAAAGAAAAAAAGAGAAGCTTTTGGGCTAAGACTATTCAGTTTTCTAGATATAGAATCATGTCATATGCAAACAGGCATAGTTCGATTTCCTCTCTTCCTATTAGAATGCCCTTTATTTCTTTCTCTTGCCTGATTGCTCTGGCCAGAATTTCTAATACTTTGTTGAATAGGAGTGGTGAGAGGGGGCATCCTTGTCTTGTGCCAGTTTTCAAGGAGAATGCTTCCAGCTTTTGCCCATTCAGTATGACGTTGGCTGTGGGTTTGTCACATATGGCTCTTATTATTTTGAGGTGTGTTCCTTCAATACCTAGTTTATTGAGAGTTTTTAACATGAGGGATGTTGAATTTTGTTGAAAGACGTTTCTGCATCTATTGAGATAACTACATGGTTTTTGTCTTTAGTTATGTTTATGTGATGAATCACACTTACTGATTTGTGTGTGTGGTACCAACCTTGCACCCCAGGGATGAAGCCTACTTGATCGTGGTGAATACATTTTTTAACGTGCTGTTGGATTTAATTTGCAAGTATTTTGTTGAGGATTTTTTATCTATATTCTTCAAGGATATTGGCCTGAAGTTTTTCTTTTTTTGTTGTATCCCTACCAGGTTTTGGTAACAGGGTGATGCTGGCCTCACAGAATGACTTAGGGATTTTTCTGAACAGTTTCAGTAGGAATGGTACCAGCTCTTCTTTGTATATATGGTAGAATTCAGCTATGAACCCATCTGGTCCTGGCCTTTTTATGGCTGGTAGACTATTATTGCCTCAATTTCAGATCTCATTATTGGTCTATTGAGGGATTCAGTTTCTTCCTGGTTCAGTCTTGGGAGGGTGTATGCATCCAGGAATTTATCCATTTCTTCTAGATTTTCTAGTTTATGTGCACAGAGGTGTTTATAATATTCTCTGATGGTTGTGTGTATTTCTGTGGGGTCAGTGGTAATATCCCCCTTATGATTTTTTATTGTGATTATTGGAATCTTTTTTTTTCTTCTTTATTCATCTAACTAGTGGTCCATCTATTTTATTATTATTATTATGTTTTTTTTTTTTTCAAAAAACCAGCTCCTGGATTTGTTGATCTTTAGAATGGTTTTTTGTGTCTCTATCTCCTTCAGTTAAACTCTGATTTTAGTTATTTCTTGTCTTCTGCTAGGTTTGGGATTTGTTTGCTCTTGGTTTTCTAGTTTTTTTCAGTTGTGACATTAGGTTGTTAACTTGAGATCTTTCTAGCTTTTTGATGTGGGCATATCTTGCTATAAATTTCTTTCCCAATACTGCCTTAGCTGTGTCTCAAAGATTCTGGTACATTGTATCTTTGCTCTTATTCGTTTCGAAGAACTTCTTCATTTCTGCCCTAATTTCATCATTTACCCCAAAGTCATTCAGGTGTAGGTTATTAAGTTCCCATGTAATGGTATGGTTTTGAGTGAATTTCTTCATCTTGAATTCTTATTTGATTGTGCCATGGTCTGAGAGACTGTTTGTTATGATTTCAGTTCTTTTGCATTTGCTGAGGAGTGTTTTATTTCCGTTTATGTGATTGATTTTAGAGTAAGTGCTATGTGGTGAGAATAATATATATTTGGTTGTTTTGGGGTAGAGAGTTCTGTAGATATTTATCGGGTCCATTCGATCCAGAGCTGAGCTCAGGTCCTGAATATCTTTTTTAATTTTCTTTCTCAATGATCTGTCTATTATTGTTAATGGGTGTTAAAGTCTCCCACTATTATTTCGTGGGAGTCTAAGTGTCTTTAAATGTCTCTAAGAACTTGCTTTATGAATCTGGTTGCTCCTGTATTGGATGCATATATATTTAAGATAGTTAACTCTTCTTGTTGAATTGAACCTTTTACCATTATGTAATGCCCTTCTTTGTCTTTTCTGATCTTTGTTGGTTTAAGTCTGAAGAAAACTAGTCTCTATTTTGAGCCTCTGTCCTGAGTTCTCACCTCAGTAATCTACTTCCACAGCAATTGTTCCCAGAGTGGCTTTCATCAAGCTACTTTATCTTTTTGAGCCCCAAGCCTTAGATTCTCATCTGTGAAATTAACATATTTCTTTTAAAAATATAATAAACTTTGGTTTTAAAATAGTTTTAGATTTACAGAAAAATGTAGCAGAAAATACAGAATGCTCTTATATACTTCTCCCCTGTACTCACATTCTTCCATTAGTAACATCTTGCATTAGTGTGGTGCATTTGTGACAATTAATAAAATAATATTAATATATATTATAAAGTGAAGTTCATAGTTTACATTAAGGTTCACTCACTACTGGTCTTTTTATTCTCTTTATAGTTTTGCCTTTTTCAGAGTGTCACGTAGTTGGAATAATACAGGAAGTAGCCTTTCAGACTGATTTCTTTCACTTAGCAATATTCATTTAAAGTTTCTTCATATCTTTTTGTGACTTGATAACTCATTTCTCTTAATCACTGAATAAGATTCCATCGTAGGGATGTCCCACAGTTTGTTTATCCATTTATCTATTGAAGGACATCTCAATTGCTTCCAAGTTTGGGCAATTATGAATAAGGCTGCTAAAATACACATGTGTAGGTTTTATGTGGAAATAAGTTTTCAACTCAACTGGGTAAATACCTAGGAGCAGGTATATGGTAAGATTATGTTTACATTTATAAGAAACTGCCAAACTGCCTTCCTAAGTGGCTCTACCATTTTGCACTCCTCCCAGCAATGAATGGAAGCTCTTACTGCCACTCATTCTCTCCAACAATTGGTATTGTGAGTGCTTTAGATTTTGGGCATTCTAGTAGGTGTGTAGTAGCATCTCATTGCTGCTTTAATTTGCAATTCCTTAGTCACATATGATGTGGTGCATTTCTTATATGTTACTTTCCATCTGTGTATCTTCTTTGATGATGTATCTGTTCAGCTCTTTTATCTAGTTTCCAGTTGGGTTCTTTTCTTATTGTGAGTTTTAAGAGTTATTTTAATATTTTGGTAAAAGTCTTTATTTATATTTGATTTTAAGATACTTTCTCCCAGTCTATGACTTGTTGCTTTATTCTCTTAACAGTGTCTTTAGCAGAGCACAAGCTTTTAATTTAAATAAAGTCCAACTTATCAATTTTTTCTTCCATGAATCATACTTTTGGTGTTACATCTAAAAACTCATCATCAAAACCAAGATTACCTAGATATTTTCCTATGGTATCTTCAGTTATATGTTATATGTTGGTTTTATAGTTTTGTGTTTTATACTTAGGCCTATTATACATTTGAGTTGATTTTGTGGAAGGTAAAAGCCCTCTGTCTAGATTGTTTTTTGTTTGTTTGTTTGCATGTGATGTCCAATTGTTCCTGTATCAAATTGAAAACACTATTTTTCCATTGACTTGACTTTGCTCCTTTGTGAAATATCAGTTAACTATATTTGTGCGGGTCAAATTATAAGCTTTTCTATCCTGTTCCGTTGATCTATTTGTCTATTCTTTTGCCATTATCATACCATCTTGATTGCTGTAGGTTTATAATAAGTATTGAAGTTAAGTAGTGTCAGTCTTCCAGATTATTTTTCTCTTTCAATATTGTATTGGCTATAATGGATCTTCTGTCTTCCACATAAACTTTAAAATCAGTGTTTCAGTTTCTGCGAAATAACAATGGAATTTTATTTGGATTACACTGAATCTATAAATCTAGTTGGGAAGAGTTGACATCTTAACAATATTGTGTCTTCCTGTGCATAAACAGGAAACAGCTCTCCGTTTATTTAAATCTTTGACTTCTTTATCAGAGTTTTGTCTTTTTCCTTATATTGCTTCTGTAAATATTTTGTCAGATTTTACAGAGGGAGGGGGTTCATGGGATGGAGGAGGCTAATGAGAATGATACTGTGTTTTAATTTCCTATTCCAGTTGTTCATTCCTTGTACAGTATATGGAAAAGAATTGATTTTTGAAAATTGACCTTGTATCTTGCAACCTTTCTTTAATGGCTTAGTAGTTCCAGGAGTTTTTTGGCCCATTTGTTGGAATTTTCCACATAGACAATTGTGTCTCTCATCTGCGAAGGAGGTTTTATGTCTTCCTCCCCAATCTGTATACCTTTTCTTTTCTTATTGCTAGGACTTCTGGTATGAATTTGAACAGGAGTAGTGAGAAGGGACATTCTTGTGTTGTTCCAGATCTTAGGGGGAAAGCATCTAGTTTCTTACAATTATGTTAAATACAGGTTTTTTGTAGATGGTCTTTATCAAGTTGAATAAACCCCTCTCTATTCCTAATTTGCTGAGAGGTTTTTTTTTTTTTTTTTTAATCATGACTGGGTGTTGAATTTTGTTAAGCACCTTTCTTGCATCTATTGATATTATATGATTTTTCTTTCTTAGCCTGTGGATATGATGACTTACATTAATTGATTTTTAAATATTGAACCAGCCTTGTATACCTGAAATAATTCTATGTAGGCATAGTGTATAATTCTTTGTATATATCATTGGATTTGATTTGGTACTGTTTTGTTGAGTATTTTCACATCTATGCATATGAGAGATATTGCTCTGGAGCTTTCCTTACTTGTAATGTCTGTATCTGGTTTGGGTATAAAGGTAATGCTGACTTCATAGCTGAGTTAGAAAGTATTCCCTCTGTTTCTGTTTCCTGGAAGAGATTATATAGAATGTGTATCATTTTTTCCTAGTTTAGAAGAGCTTACCTATGAAACCATCTGGGTGCTTTCTTTTTTGGAAGGTTATTGATTATTGACTTAGTATGTTTAGTAGATATTAGGCTATTGAGATTATCTATTTTTTCTGTGTGTTTTGGTAGTTTGCATCTTTTGAGGAATTGGTCCATTTCATGTAAGTTACCAAATTTGTGGACATACAGTTGTGCATAATATTCTTTTATTATACTTTTAATCTATATGGGATCAATGGTAATTACGCCTCTTTCATCTTAACTTTAGTAACTTGCATCTTCTTTTTATCGTGGCCACCCTGGCAAGAAATCTATTAACTTTACTGATCTTTTAAAACAACCAGCTTTTGGTTTGGTTGGTTTTCTCTATTGATTTCCTGTTTTCAACTTCATTGATTTCTGTTCTAATTGTTATTATTTTTTTCTTCTGCTGCTTTAAGTTTATATTGTTCTTCTTTCTCTGGTTTCCTAAAGTGGAAGCTTAGATTTATATCTTTATTCTTTTCTAAAATATTCAGTCACGTGCTATAAATTTCCCTTTAAGCAGTACGTCCACTGCATTCCACACATTTTGATAAGTTGTGTTTTCATTTTCATTTAGTTCAATGTTTTAAAATTTATTTTGAGACTTCTTCTGATTCATTTGTTATTTAGAAATGTATTGTTTAATTTCAAAATATCGTGGGAGTTTCCAGCTATCTTTCTGTTGTTGATTTTTGTTTAATTTCATTGTGTTTTGAGAACATACTTTGTATGATTTCTATTCTTTAAGTTGTTAAGATGTGTTTTATGGCCCAGAATGTGGTCTATTTTGGGGAATGTTCCATGTGAGCATGAGAAGAATGTGTATTCTGCCGTTGTTGGATTAAGTCTATAAATGTTCATTATATCCAGTTGACTTATAGTATTGTTGAGTTCAATTATGTCCTTACTGATTTTCTACCTAGTGGATCTATTATTTACTGATAGAACGGTATTGAAATCTTCAGCTGTGACATTAGATCTGTCTATTGATCCTTGCTATTCTATCAGTTTTTGGTCTCAAAACTGTTTTTGTTCTCTTGTTAGATGCATCTACATTAAGGATTGTTATGTCTTCTTGGAGAATTGCCACTTTTATAATTATATTTCTCTTGATCCCTGAATATCTTATTTGTTTTAAAGTCTGCTTTGCCTGAAATGTAGTGACTCCCACTTTTTTTTTTGACTGGTGTTAGCATGATATATCTTTCTTCATTCCTTTACTTTGAATCTGTCTATTTTACATGAGTTTCTTGTAGACAATATATAGTTGAGTCTATTTATCTATCTACTTTGACAGTCTGTCCCTTGGTATATTTAGACCATTCATATTTAAGAGGATTATTGATATATACTATGGACCCCATACATGACAATGGTTCCATATAATTGTAATGGGGCTGCCATATACAGATGTACAACTTTTTTATCTTTTATATCATATTTTTACTGTACTTTTTCTATATTTAAGTATTTTTTAAAATTTTATTTTATTTTAAGTTCTGGGATACATGTGCAGGAAGTGCAGTTTTGTTACACAGGTAAATATGTGCTGCTACAGTGATTTGCTGCACCTATCAACCCACCAACTAGGTATTAAGCCCCACATGCATTGTGTTAAAATAGCCTACATTATTCAGCATAATAACACACTGTGCAGGTTTGTAGCTTAGGAGCAATAGGCTATACCATACAGCCTATGTGTTTAGTAGGCCATAGCAACTAAGTTTATGTAAATACACTCTATGAAGTTTGTACAAAATAAAATTACCTAATGATGCATTTCTCAACATGTCTTCCCATCACGTGACAAATAATTGTACTTGGATGATATGGTATGGCTGTGTTCCCATCAAATATCAACTTGAATTATGTCTCTCAGAATTCTCATGTGTTGTGGGAGTGACCCAGGGGGAGGTAATTGAATCTCATGCTATTTTCATGATAGTGAATAAGTCTCATGAGACCTTATGTGTTTATCAGGGGTTTCTGCTTTTGCTTCCTCTTCGTTTTTCTCTTGCTGCCGCCATGTAAGAAGTGCCTTTCACCTCCTGCCATTATTCTGAGGCCTTCCCAGCCATGTGGAACTATGAGTCCAATTAAACCTGTTTTTGTTCCCAGTTTCAGCTATGTCTTTATCAGCAGTGTGAAAATGAACTAATACATTCAATTAATATCTACCACATTTGTAACTTTTATCTGTTTGTTACACTTGTTCATTTCTTTTTAAAATATGCCTTTCTTTTTCTGTCTTTTTTGTTTTTAATTGAACATTTTATATAATTTCAACCTCTCTCTTTTTTTGTGTATCAATTACACTTCTTTTTTAAAAAATGTTAGTGGCTACCCTAGAGTTTGTCAAATAATTTACAACTAATCTAAGTCCACTTTCAAGTAACACTGTATGACTTCACAGTTATTATAGGTACCTTATAACAGAGGATTCCCAATTCCCTCCTCTCATTCACCATAACATCACTGTAATTTGTTTCCTTTATCTATAAGCTGTAATCCCCCAACACATTGTTGCTATTATTAGTTTGAACAAAAAAGTATCTACTAGAGTGATAATAATAAGATTTTATTTCACTTTCATTTATTTATTCTCTGATAATATGCTTTCCTTTCTGCAGATATGAATTTCTGCTCCAGACTGTTTTAGTTCTCCCTGAATAATTCAAGTATTTCTTGCAAGATGAGTCTACTGCTGACAACTTTTTTCAGTTTTTATCAGAAAAAGTCTTTATTTCTCATTCACCTTTGAAGGATGATTTCACTAGACAGAATTCTAGGCTGGTTTTTGTAGTTGTTGTTGTTGTTGTTTTGTTTTTGCTTTTAACACTAAACATTTCACTCCATTCTGTTTTTGTTTGCATGACTTGGTGAAAAGTCTAATATAATTTTTACCATTCCTCTATAGATAGGATTTTAAACTTTTTTCTGGCTGTTCTTAAGACTTTCTATATGTCTTTGGATTTCTGCAGTTTAAATATAATATGCCTAGGTATAGAATTTTGGTATTTATCTTGCTAGGTGTTCTCTGATTTTCTGGATCTGTGGTTTGGTCTCTGTCAAAAATTTTGGAAAATTCTCAGCTATTATTTTTTTCTCATTCTTTACCCCTTTTGTCTCCTTCTGAAATTCCCACTAGGCTTATGTTACGCTTTTTGTAATCGTCTCACATTCTTGGATATTCTGTTCTTTTTTAAATTCTTTTTTTCTCTTTGCATTTTAGTTTGCAAAGTTATTATGGACAAATCTTCATGTTTGCTGAGTCTTTTCCTTAGGTCATATATAGTCTACTGATAAGCTCAGGAGAGGCATTCTTCATTTCTGTTGCAGTGTTTTTGATTTCTAGATTTCCCTTGATTCTTTCTTTGAGTTTCCATCTCTGTTTATCTCACCTATCTGCTTTTGCATGCTGTCCACTTTTTCCACTAGAACTCCTAATGTATTAGTCGTAAATATTTTAAATTTTTTATCTAAACATTCCAAAATCTGTGTCACATGTGAGCCTAGTTTCAATATTAACTTTTTTTCTTTAGGTTGTATTTCTTCTTGTAGTTTGGCATGTCTTGTGATTTTTTTTGTTGAAAGCAGGACATGATGTATCTGACAATAGGCATCAAAGCAACAGGCTTTCAGTATGAGTTTTTATGCAATCTAGCTACCAACTGGGCTGTGTTTAATGTTTTCTGTAGCTATAGGTTCCCAGAGGGTTTGGTTTCCTCTAGTTTTTAGTTTTTTCCTCCTCTTACCTATTATACCTTGGGTTTCCCTAAGAACTACTTTTTTTTTTAATTATTATACTTTAAGTTCTAGGGTACATGTGCACAATGTGCAGGTTTGTTACATATGTATACATGTGCCATGTTGGTTTGCTGCACCCATTAACTGGTCATTTACATTAGGTATTTCCCCTAATTCTATCCCTCCCCCATTCCTCCACCCCATGACAGGCCCCAATGTGTGATGTTCCGCGCTCTGTGTCCAAGTGTTCTCATTGCTCAATTCCCACCTATGAGTGAGAACATGTAGTGTTTGGTTTTCTGTCCTTGTGATAGTTTGCTCAGAATGATGGTTTCCAGCTTTATCCATGTCCTACAAAGGACATGAACTCATCCTTTCTTATGGCTGCAAAGTATTCCATGGTGTACATGTGCCACATTTTCTTAATCCAGTCTATCACTGATGGCTATTTGGGTTGGTTCCAACTCTTCACTATTGTGAATATGCCGCAATAAACATATGTGTGCATGTGTCTTTATAGTAGCATGACTTATAATCCTTTGGGTATATAGTCAGTAATGGGATCGCTGGGTCAAATGGTATTTCTAGTTCTAGATCCTTGAGGAATCGCCACACTGTCTTCCACATGGTTGAACTAGTTTACAGTCCCACCAACAGTGTAAAAGTGTTCCTATTTCTCCACAACCTCTTCAGCACCTGTTGTTTCCTGACTTTTTAATGATTGCCATTCTAACTGGTGTGAGATGGTCTCTCATTGTGGTTTTGATTTGCATTTCTCTGATGGCCAGTGATAATGAGCATTTTTTCATGTGTCTATTGGCTGCATGAATGTCTTCTTTTGAGAAGCATCTGTTCAAATCCTTTGCCCACTTTTTGATGGGGTTGTTTGATTTTTTCTTGGAAATTAGTTTAAGTTCTTTGTAGATTCTGGATATTAGCCCTTTGTCAGATGGGCAGATTGCAAAAATTTTCTCCCATTCTGCAGGTCGCCTGTTCACTCTGATGGTAGTTTCTTTTGCTGTGCAGAAGCTCTTTAGTTTGATTAGATCCCATTTGTCTATTTTAGCTTTTGTTGCCATTGCTTTTAGTCGTGAAGTCCTTGCCCATGCCTATGTCCTGAATGGTATTGCCTAGGTTTTCTTTTGGGTTTTGATGGTTTTAGGTCTAACATTTAAGTCTTTAATCCATCTTGAGTTAATTTTTGTATAAGGTGTAAGGAAGGGATCCAGTTTCAGCTTTCTACATATGGCTAGCCAGTTTTCCCAGCACCATTTATTAAATAGGGAATCCTTTCCCCATTTCTTGTTTTTGTCAGGTTTGTCAAAGATCAGATGGTTGTAGATATGTGGTGTTATTTCTGAGGCCTCTGTGCTGTTCCATTGGTCTATATCTCTGTTTTGGTACCAGTACCATGCTGTTTTGGTTACTGTAGGCTTGTAGTATAGTTTGAAGTCAGGTAGCATGATGCCTCCAGCTTTGTTCTTTTGGCTTAGGTTTGTCTTCGCAACGTGGGCTCTTTTTTGGTTCCATATGAACTTTAAAGTAGTTTTTTCCAATTCTGTGAAGAAAGTCATTGGTAGCTTGTTGGGGGTGGCATTAAATCTATAAATTATCTTGGGCAGTATGGCCATTTTCATGATATTGATTCTTCCCACCCATGAGCATGGAATGTTCTTCCATTTGTTTGTATCCTCTTTTATTTCATTGAGCAGTGGTTTGTAGTTCTCCTTGAAGAGGTCCTTCACATCTCTTGTAAGTCGGATTCCTAGGTATTTTATTCTCTTTGTAGCAATTGTGAATAGGAGTTCACTCATGATTTGGCTCTCTGTCTGTTATTGGTGTATAAGAATGCTTGTGATTTTTGCACATTGATTTTGTATCCTGAGACTCCTGAAGTTGCTTATAAGCTTAAGGAGATTTTAGGCTGAGATGAAGGGGTTTTCTAAATATACAATCATGTCATCTGCAAACAGGGACAATTTGACTTCCTCTTTTACTAACTGAATACCGTTTCTTTCTATTGCCTGATTTCCCTGGCCAGATTGTCGAACACTATGTTGAATAGGAGTGGTGAGAGAGGGCATCCCTGTCTTGTGCCAGTTTTCAAAGGGAATGCTTCCAGTTTTTGCCCATTCAGTATGATATTGGCTGTGGGTTTGTCATAAATAGCTCTTAGTATTTTGAGATACATCCCATCAATACCTAGTTTACTGAGAGTTTTTAGCATGAAGCGCTGTTGAATTTTGTCAAAGGCCTTTTCTGCATCTGTTGAGATAATCATGTGGTTTTTGTCTTTGGTTCTGTTTATGTGATGGATTACGTTTATTGATTTGCATATGTTGAACCAGCCTTGCGTCCCAGGGATGAAGCCAACTTGATCTTGGTGGATAAGGTTTTTGATGTGCTGCTGGATTCGGTTTGCCAGTATTTTATTGAGGATTTTTGCATTGATGTTCATCAGGGATATTGGTCTAAAATTTTTTTGTTGTTGTGTCTCTGCCAGGTTTTGGTATCAGGATGATGCTGGCCTCATAAAATGAGTTAGGGAGGATTCCCTCTTTTCCTGTTGATTGGAATAGTTTCAGAAGGAATGGTACCAGCTCTTCTTTGTACCTCTGGTAGAATTCGGCTGTGAATCCTTCTGGTCCTAGACTTTTTTTGGTTGGTAGGCTATTAATTATTGCCTCAATTTCAGAGCCTGTTAATGGTCTATTCAGAGATTCAGCTTCTTCCTGGTTTAGTCTTGGGAGGCTGTATGTGTCCAGGAATTTATCCATTTCATCTATATTTTCTAGTTTATTTGTGTAGAGGTGTTTATAGTGTTCTCTGATGGTCGTTTGTATTTCTGTGGGATTGGTGGTAATATCCCCTTTATCATTTTTTTATTGTGTCTATTTGATTCTTCTCTCTTTTCTTCTTTATTAGTCTTGCTAGTGGTCTATCAATTTTGTTGACCTTTTAAAAAAAAGCCAGTTCCTGGATTCATTAATTTTTTGAAGGGTTTTTTTGTGTCTCTATCTCCTTCAGTTCTGCTCTAATCTTAGTTATTTCTTGCCTTCTGCTAGCTTTTGAATTTGTTTGCTCTTGCTTCTCTAGTTCTTTTAATTGTGATGTTAGGGTGTCAATTTTAGATCTTTCCTGCTTTCTCTCGTGGGCATTTAGTGCTATAAATTTCCCTCTACACACTGCTTTAAATGTGTTCCAGAGATTCTGGTACGTTGTGTCTTTGTTCTCATTGGTTTCAAAGAACATCTTTATTTCTGCCTTCATTTCCTTATTTACCCAGTAGTCATTCAGGAGCAGGTTGTTCAGTTACCATGTAGTTGTGCAGTTTTGAGTGAGTTTCTTAATCCTGAGTTCTAATTTGATTGCACTGTGGTCTGAGAGACAGTTTGTTGTGATTTCTGTTCTTTTACATTTGCTGAGGAGTGCTTTACTTCCAACTATGTGGTCAATTTTGGAATAAGTGCAATGTGGTGCTGAGAAGAATGTATATTCTGTTGATTTGGGGTGGAGAGTTCTGTAGATGTCAATTAGGTCTGCTTGGTGCAGAGCTGAGTTCAAGTCCTGGATATCCTTGTTAACCTTCTGTCTCATTGATCTCTCTAATATTGACAGTGGGGTGTTAAAGTCTCCCATTATCATTGTATGGGAGTCTAAGTCTCTTTTTAGGTCTCGCATGACTTGCTTTATCAATCTGGGTGCTCCTGTATTGGTGCATATATATTTAGGATAGTTAGCTCTTCTTGTTGAATTGATCCCTTTACCATTATGTAATGGCCCTCTTTGTCTCTTTTGATCTTTGTTGGTTTAAAGTCTGTTTTATCAGAGACTAGGACTGCAACCCCTGCTTTTTTTTTCTTTCCATTTGCATGGTAGATCTTCCTCCATCCCTGTATTTTGAGCCTATGTGTGTGTCTGCACGTGAGATGGGTCTCCTGAATACAGCACGCTGATGGGTCTTGACTCTTTATCCAATTTGCCAGTCTGTGTCTTTTAATTGGAGCATTTAGCCCATTTACATTTAAGGTTAATATTGTTATGTGTGAATTTGATCCTCTCATTATGATGTTAGCTGGTTATTTTGTCCGTTAGTTGGTGCAGTATCTTCCTAGCATCTACAGTCTTTACAATTTGGCATGTTTTTTCAGTGGCTGGTACCAGTTGTTCCTTTCCAAGTTTAGTGCTTCCTTCAGGAGCTCTTGTAAGGCAGGCTTGGTGGTGACAAAATCTCTCAGCATTTGCTTGTCTGTAAAGGATTTTATTTCTCCTTCACTTATGAAGCTTAATTTGGCTGGATATGAAATTCTGGATTGAAAATTCTTTTCTTTAAGAATGTTGAATATTGGCCCCCACTTTCTTCTGGCTTGTAGAGTTTCTGCCAAGAGATCAGCTGTTAGTCTGATGGGCTTCCCTTTGTTGGTAACCCGACCTTTCTCTCTGGCTGCCCTTAGCATTTTTTCCTTCATTTCAACCTTGGTGAATCTGACAATTATGTGTCTTGGGGTGGCTCTTCTTGAGGAGTATCTTTGTGGTGTTCTCTGTATTTCCTGAATTTGAATGTTGGCCTGCTTTGCTAGGTTGGGGAAGTTCTCCTGGTTAATATTCTGAAGAGTGTTTTCCAGCTTGGTTCCATTCTCCCTGTCACTTTCAGGTACACCAGTCAAATGTAGATTTGGTCTTTTCACATAGACCCATATTTCTTGGTGGCTTTGTTCATTTCTTTTTACTCTTTTTTCTCTAAACTTCTCTTCTCACTTTATTTCGTTAATTTGATCTTCAATCACTGATACCCTTTCTTCCACTTGATTGAATTGGCTACTGAAGCTTGTGCGTGCATCACGTAGTTCTCGTGCCATGGTTTTCAGCTCCATCAGGTCATTTAAGGTCCTCTCTACACTGTTTATTCTAGTTAGCTGTTCGTCTAATCTTTTTTCCAGGTTTTTAGATTCCTTGTGATGGATTCAAACATCCTCCTCTAGCTTGGAGAATTTTGTTATTACCAACTTTCTGAAGCCTACTTCTGTCAACTTGTCAACATCATTCTCTGTCCTGCTTTGTTCCATTGCTGGTGAGGAGCTGTAATCCTTTGGAGGAGAAGGGGCACTCTGGTTTTTAGAATTTTCAGGTTTTCTGCTCTGGTTTCTCCCCATCTTGTGGTTTTATCTACCTTTGGTCTTTGATGATGGTGACCTACAGATGGGGTTGTGGTGTGGATGTCCTTTTTGTTGATGTTGATGCTATTCCTTTCTGTTTGTTAGTTTTCTTTCTAACAGTCAGGTCCCTCAACTGCAGGTCTGTTGGAGTTTGCTGGAGGTGCAGTCCAGACCCTATTTGCCTGAGTGTCACCAGCGGAGGCTTTAGAACAGCAAATATTGCTGCCTGATCCTTCCTCTGGAAGCTTTGTCTCAGAGGAGCACCTGGCTGTATAAGATGTCAGTCAGCCTTTACTGGGAAGTGTCTCCAAGTTAGGCTACACGGGGGTCAGGGACACACTTGAGGGGCAGTCTGTCCATTCTCAGCACTCAAACACCATACTGGGAGAACCACTGCTCTCTTTATAGCTGTCAGACAGGGATGTTTAAGTCTGCAGAAGTTTCTGCTGCCTTTTATTCAGCTATGCCCTGCCCCCAGAGGTGGAGTCCACAGAGGCAGGTGGGCCTCATTGAGCTGCGGTGTACTCCACCCAGTTCGAGCTTCCTGGCCACTTTTGTTTACCTACTCAAGCCTCAGCAATGGCAGACGCCCCTTCCCCAGCCAGGCTTGCTATCTCACAGTTCGATCTCGGATTAGCAGTGAGCAAGGCTCCGTGGGTGTGGAACCCACTGAACCAGGAGCGGGATATAATCTCCTGGTGTGCCATTTGCTAAGACTGTTGGAAAAGTGCAGTATTTAGGTGGCAGGGTCCTGATTTTCCCGGTACAGTCTGTCAAGGCTTCCCTTGGCTAGGGAAGGGAAATCCCCAACCCCTTGCACTTCCCAGGTGAGGTGATGCCAAACCCTGCTTTGACTCACCCTCCGTGGGCTGCACCCACTTTCTGACCAGTCCCAATGAGATGAACCAGGTACCTCAATTGGAAATGCAGAAATCATCTGCTTTCTGCATTGGTCACGCTGGGAGCTGCAGACCGGAACTGTTCCTATTTGGCCATCTTGGAACAGTCCCGAAGAACTCCTTCTTAAATAGAGCCTATGTCTTACAGCATTCTCAGTTGTAAACTACTGTTATTATACCAGTGTCCCAGTGATATAATTGCAAGTTGTTGGAGAGGGGAAACATCCTATAGTTTTTTGTTTAAATCTCAATTATCTTAGTGATCTTGAGTTCCTGAGCTGTGATATTCATAAGCATTTTTTCGCTTTATTTTTTTTCTGCAGTTATGTGAGACAGAAAGGCTATAGTGGGCTGGAGTTGTCTAATTGCCCTTATGCAGGTCAGATAAGGCTCTAGTAAAATAATCCCTGGAAGGGCAGGCCTGTGTTATGAAGAATGCTCTGGGCATATTTCAAACAGTTACTTGCCCTCTCTTTCTGCTGGAAGTATGAGGGAAAATTTTCCCCATCTTCATTATGAGAACCTCCTGAAGCTCTTAAAAGTAAAACTCACAAAAGTGGATCCTCTCCCCACACCCAAACTCCTCACCCCCACCCCAAGGCTGGGCCTCCAGGAGTGTGTAACTCTCAGGCTAGTCTATACTCAGCCTTCAGCAATTGGTCACATTATTAAAGTGTCCCTCCTAGCTACTGGCTCCAGTGCCTTCTGCTCTCAGTAACTTCATCTGGGCTGTGATTCTCTGTATTCTCCTCTTCCCAGTTATGATCCATCCTCTTCAAGGATTCTGTGATTTCACAATCTTCCAATACCACCTAAAATAACTGGATTCTGTTGCCCTTTGCACTTCCCAGGTTTGCCCTGTGACCTCAATTTTCTGGTGGATCTAAGAAAAGTAATTAATACTTTAGCGCGTTTAGCTTTTTTCTGGCTCTGAAACATTGGTCTGATGACTTTCGAGCTTTTTCTATTTCAGAGTTGAACACATTTCTAAATTCATAAAATTTTTGGAAAACTAGAGGCCATAATGCATGTAAAATACCTGGCACGGTGCTCATCAAATAGCAAGTAATAATAATTATAATAGCCAATCACTTTCAGAAGAAATTTACATGTATTAATTCTCACAAAAAAACTATAATGTAGGTACAAATTATTATTCCCATTTTACATATGTGGAAACTGAGGTACAGAGAGCTGTTATGCCTAATAGAGGATTCTAACTGGAGAGTCAGATTTCAGGGCACAGGCTGTCATAATGAATCACCCCAATCCCATCCCACCAATACCAGAACCTGCCTTCTCCTGACCAGTTCTCCCAGGGACTGGAATCCTGCCTCTGCACCCATCTCATGGCTGAAGTCCTGCTGCTACAGCCAGATCTCCCTGGCTCTGTGTATCCCTTCAGTGATACACTGGCTCTGGGGCCGTTCAATTGTTTTGAGTCACAAGTCTTTCTAGATCCATCCACCAGGAACATCTGTTCCTTGGTCTGCCTCACACTCTTGACTGATTCTCTGTAGTTCCCATTCTAACTTCACTCAGATTATAGACAGAAAATTTGAAAAAAGATATTTAAAGGATGAGGACTAACAAAAAATGAATCTTAATAGAAATGCACTTGTGCTGACTCTGTTTTCGGACTCAGCCCGCCTGCACCCAGGTGAAATAAACAGCCATGTTGCTCACACAAAGCCTGTTTGGTGGTCTCTTCACATGGACACGCATGAAATTTGGTGCCGTGACTCGGATCGGGGGACCTCCCTTGGGAGATCAATCCCCTGTACTCCTGTTCTTTGCTCTGTGAGAAAGATCCACCTATGACCTCAGGTCCTCAGACCAACCAGCCCAAGGAACATCTCACCAATTTTAAATCAGGTAAGTGGCCTCTTCTTACTCTCTTCTCCAACCTCTCTCACTCACCACTCCAACCTCAATCACTTTCTCCTTTCCACTCTTCAATCTCTCCCTTCTCTTAATTTCAATTCCTTTCATTTTCTGGGAGAGACAAAGGAGACATGTTTTATCCGTGGACCCAAAACTCCGGTGCCGGTCACGGACTGGGAAGGCAGCCTTCCCTTGGTGTTTAATCATTGCAGGGATGCCTTTCTGATTATACACCCATGTTTCAAGGGTGTCAGACCACGCAGGGACGCCTGCCTTGGTCCTTCACCCTTAGCAGGAAGTCCCGCTTTTCTGGGGAAGGGGCAAGTACCCCAACCCCTTCTCTCCTTGTCTCTACTCTTTCTCTGCTTTTCTGGGAGAGGGGCAGTACCCCTCAACCCCTTCTCCTTCACCCTTAGTGGCAAGTCCTGCTTTTCTATGGGGCAAGAACCCCCAATCCCTTATTTCCATGCCCCAACCTCTTATCTCTGCACCCCAGTCCCTTATTTCTGTGCCCCAACCTCTTATCTCTGCACCCCAATCCCTTATTTCCACACCCCGGCCTCTTATCTCTGCGCCCCAACCCCTTTTCCCACTTTTCTAGAAGGTAAGAACCCACGAACCCCTTCCCTCCGTTTCTCTACTCTCTCTTTCTCTAGGCTTGCTTCCTTCACTATGGGCAACCTTCCACCCTCCATTCCTCCTTCTACTCCCTTGGCCTGTGTTCTCAAAAACTTAAAATCTCTTCAACTCACACCTGACCTAAAGCCTAAATGCCTTATTTTCTTCTGCAATGCCACTTGACCCCAGTACAAACTCAACAGTGGTTCCAAATAGCCGGAAAACGGCACTTTCAATTTTTCCATCCTACAAGATCTAAATAATTCTTGTCATAAAATGGGCAAATGGTCTGAGGTGCCTGACGTCCAGGCATTCTTTTACACATCAGTCCCTTCCTAGTCTCTGTGCCCAGTGCAACTCGTCCCAAATCTTCCTTCTTTCCCTCCCGCCTGTCCCCTCAGTACCAACCCCAAGCATCGCTGAGTCTTTCTAATCTTCCTTTTCTACAGACCCATCTGACCTCTCCCTTCCTCCCCAGGCTGCTCCTTGCAAGGCCGAGCTAGGTCCCAATTCTTCCTCAGCCTCTGCTCCTCCACCCTATAATCCTTTTATCACCTCCCCTCCTCACACCTGGTCCGGCTTACAGTTTCATTCCATGACTAGCCCTCCCCCACCTGCCCAGCAATTTACTCTTAAAAAGGTGGCTGGAGCCAAAGGCATAGTCAAGGTTAATGCTCCTTTTTCTTTATCCCAAATCAGAAGCGTTTAGGCTCTTTTTCATCAAATATAAAAATCCAGCCCAGTTCATGACTCCTTTGGCAGCAACCCTGAGACGCTTTACAGCCCTAGACCCTAAAAGGTCAAAAGGCCGTCTTATTCTCAATATACATTTTATTACCCAATCTGCTCCCGACATTAAATAAAACTCCAAAAACTGGAATCTGGCCCTCAAACCCCACAACAGGACTTAATTAACCTCACCTTCAAGGTGTACAATAACAGAAAAAAGTTGCAATTCTTTGCCTCCACTGTGAGACAAACCCCAGCCACATCTCCAGCACACAAGAACTTCCAAACGCCTGAACCGCAACGGCCAGGCATTCCTCCAGAACCTCCTCCCCCAGGAGCTGGCTACACGTGCTGGAAATCTGGCCACTGGGCCAAGGAATGCCCGCAGCCCTGGATTCCTCCTAAGCCGCGTCCCATCTGTGTGGGACCCCACTGAAAATTGGACTGTTCAACTCACCTGGCAGCCACTCCCAGAGCCCCTGGAACTCTGGCCCAAGGCTCTCTGACTGACTCCTTCCCAGATCTTCTCGGCTTAGCGGCTGAAGACTGACACTGCCTGATTGCCTCAGAAGCCCCCTAGACCATCACAGACACCGAGCTTCACGTAACTCTCACAGTGGAAGGTAAAGCCGTCCCCTTCTTAATCAATACGGAGGCTACCCACTCCACATTACCTTCTTTTCAAGGGCCTGTTTCCCTTGCCTCCATAACTGTTGTGGGTATTGACAGCCAGGCTTCTAAACCTCTTAAAACTCCCCAACTCTGGTGCCAACTTAGACAATACTCTTCTAAGCACTCCTTTTTAGTTATCCCCACCTGCCCAGTTCCCTTATTAGGCTGAGACACTTTAACTAAATTATCTGCTTCCCTGACTATTCCTGGACTACAGTTATATCTCATTGCCGCCCTTCTGCCCAATCCAAAGCCTTCTTTGCGTCCTCCTCTTGTATCCCCCCACCTTAACCCACAAGTATAAGATACCTCTACTCCCTCCTTGGTGACCGATCATGCACCCCTTACCATCTCATTAAAACCTAATCACCCTTACCCCACTCAATGCCAATATCCCATCCCGCAGCACGCTTTAAAAAGATTAAAGCCTGTTATCACTCGCCTGCTACATCATGGCCTTTTAAAACCTATAAACTCTCCTTACAATTCCCCCATTTTACCTGTCCTAAAACCAGACAAGCCTTACAAGTTAGTTCAGGAGCTGTGCCTTATCAACCAAATTGTTTTGCCTATCCACCCTGTGGTGCCCAACCCGTACCCTCTTTTGTCCTCAATACCTTCCTCCACAACTCACTATGCCGTGCTTGATCTTAAAGATGCTTTTTTCACTATTCCCCTGCACCCCTCATCCCAGCCTCTCTTTGCTTTCACTTAGACTGACCCTGAGACCCATTAGGCTCAGCAAATTACCTAGGCTGTACTGCCGCAAGCCTTCATAGATAGCCCCCATTAGTTCTGTCAAGCCCAAATTTTATCCTCATCTGTTACCTATCTCGGCATAATTCTCGTAAAAACATACGTGCTTTCCCTGCTGATCATGTCTGATTAATCTCCCAAACCTCAATCCCTTACAAAACAGCAACTCCTTTCCTTCCTAGGCATAGTTAGTGCAGTCAGAATTCTTACACAAGAGCCAGGACCGCACCCTGTAGCCTTTCTGTGCAAACAACTTGACCTTACCGTTTTAGCCTAGCACTCATGTCTGCGTGCAGCAGCTGCCGCTGCTTTAATAGTTTTAGAGGCCCTCAAAATCACAAACTATGCTCAACTCACTCTCTACAGTTCTCATAACTTCCAAAATCTATTTTCTTCCTCATACCTGACGCATATAATTTCTGCTTCCCGGCTCCTTCAGCCGTACTCACTCTTCGTTGAGTCTCCCACAATTACCGTTGTTCCTGGCCCGGACTTCAATCCGGCCTCCCACATTATTCCTGATACCGCACCTGACCCCCATGACTGTATCTCTCTGATCCACCTGACATTCACCCCATTTCCCCAAATTTCCTTCTTTCCTGTTCCTCACCCTGATCACGCTTGATTTATTGATGGCGGTTCCACCAGGCCTAATCGCCACACACCAGCAAAGGCAGGTTATGCCATAGTACAAGCCACTAGCCCGCCTCTTAGAACCTCTCATTTCCTTTCCGTCATGGAAATCTATCCTCAAGGAAATAACTTCTCAGTGTTCCATCTGCTATTCTACTCCTCCTCAGGGATTATTCTGGCCCCCTCCCTTCCCTACACATCAAGCTCGAGGATTTGCCCCCACCCAGGACTGGCAAATTAGCTTTACTCAACATGCCCGAGTCAGGAAACTAAAATACCTCTTAGTCTAAATAGACACTTTCACTGAATAAGTAAAGGCCTTTCCTACAGGGTCTGAGAAGGCCACCGCAGTCATTTCTTCCCTTCTGCCAGACACAATTCCTCAGTTTAGCCTTCCCACCTCAATACAGTCTGATAACAGACCAGCCTTTATTAGTCAAATCAGCCAAGCAGTTTTTCAAGCTCTTAGTATTCAGTGAAACCTTTATATCCCTTATGGTCCTCTGTCTTCAAGAAAAGTAGAATGGACTAAAGGTCTTTTAAAAACACACCTCACCAAGCTCAGCCACCAACTTAAAAAAGACTGGACAATACTTCTACCACTTTCCCTTCTCAGAATTCAGGCCTGTTCTCGGAATGCTACAGGGTACAGCCCACTTAAGCTCCTGTATAGATGCTCCTTTTTATTAGGCCCCAGTCTCATTCCAGACAACAGACCAACTTAGACTGTGCCCCCCCCAAAAAAAACTTGTCATCCTTACTATCTTCTGTCTAGTCACCCTATTCACCATTCTCAACTACTCATACATGCCCTGCTCTTGTTTACACTGCCAGTTTACACTGTTTTTCCAAGTCATCACAGCTGATATCTCCTGGTGCTATCTCCAAACTGCCACTCTTAACTCTTGAAGTAAATGAATAATCTTTGCTGGCAGGACTCTGCCGAATCTCCTTAAGCACTCTCTAATCAGATATCCTGAGTCGTCCCAATTCTTAGACCTTTTATACCTGTTTTTCTCCTTCTGTTATTCCATTTAGTTTTTCAATTCATACAAAACCGTATCCAGGCCATCACCAATCATTCTATACGACAAACGTTTCTTCTAACATCCCCACAATATCACCCCTTACCACAAGACCTCCCTTCAGCTTAATCTCTCCCACTCTAGGTTCCCACACTGCCCCTAATCCCGCTTGAAGCAGCCCTGAGAAACATCGTCCACTCTCTCTCCATACCACCCCCCCAAAAATTTTCGCCGCCCCAACACTTCAACACTATTTTGTTTTATTTTTCTTGTTAATATAAGAAGGCAGGAATGTCAGGCCTCTGAGCCCAAGCCAAGCCATCGCATCCCCTGTGACTTGCATGTATATGCCCAGATGGCCTGACGTAACTGAAGAATCACAAAAGAAGTGAATATGCCCTGCCCCACCTTAACTGATGACATTCCACCACACAAGAAGTGTAAATGGCCAGTCCTTGCCTTAACTGATGACATTACCTTGTGAAAGTCCTTTTCCTGGCTCATCCAGGCTCAAAAAGCACCCCCAC
Source organism: Homo sapiens (assembly GCF_000001405.40). Lineage (NCBI taxonomy): Eukaryota > Metazoa > Chordata > Mammalia > Primates > Hominidae > Homo > Homo sapiens. Next base: position 199,252,469 of record NC_000002.12, read on the forward strand.
TGAGCACCTTGCGACCCCCACTCCTGCCGGCCAGAGAACAAACCCCCTTTGACTGTAATTTTCCTTTACCTACCCAAATCCTATAAAACGGCCCCACCCTTATCTCCCTTCGCTGACTCTCTTTTTGGACTCAGCCTGCCTGCACCCAGGTGAAATAAACAGCCATGTTGCTCACAAAAAAAAAAAAAAAAAGAAATGCACTTGTACACATGTGTGCACGTGCATGCACGCACACACACACACACACACACACACACACTCTTGATCACCTGTGAATGGTTCTGAGATATCCTGCCCTTCCTAGGGGAGTATTTGTGGAGATTGTCCAACCACAGCTTTTTTGGGAACAAATGGTAGAATGTGAATAAAGATAAACAAGGCAATTAATTTGATATTAATTTGATGTAGCATTAAATTAAAGGTCTCAATGTTCCTGGCTATTTAAAGCCTGCTATCCTCTCCACAATGAAGGAGAAGACACTCATATCCAGAGAGAAGCACCCAGTGAGGTTGAGAGACACTGCAAGGCCTCTCCTGAGTCTTGCTGCTCTGGGCGTGTAGACCTCATGGCTTCAGCAAAAATAATTTTTTCTCTTGCTTTTCTCCTTGTAGATGGCGTGTGCCTTCTGTGAATTATTCTTTCATGGGATCCACAAGAAAATAAACTCCTTTTGTGGTCAGTCCAAATCTTCCTTGTTACTTCTCTCTAGTGCTTGCTGTTTTCAGCAAGAGCACTGGTCAAAAACAAAACAAAAACCTTGATTTCCCATCAGCATCTCACCCATTGATCTAAACAGCCCTTCATGAGGGATCAATGAACATCAGGAGATCAGTACTCTAGCATTGCTGTTCATTAGAATTCATTAGGGGTTAAAATCAATTTCCCATTCTGTGTATTTTACTGCCCTGAAATCATCTGTTCAGCACAGCTTTCTAACGGTTTTCGGCTTAATTTAATACTTAATATCTCACTTCTGCAATAAAAAAAGGGATCAATGTTCAACCAATGCTGTACTGGTAAATGTTTAACAATCATCTCTCAAAAAAAATGTAGCATTTGCCAATTTCAGCAGTATAAATACCGCCACCATAGCCAATGTTAGGCTGCCAAGATGATACCACCAAACGTGGAGTTGGAAATTTATTTAATTGTAAATTTGTATAATTTAATGTTTAATAGTGGCTGTATTTAGCAATTACCTCACAACATTCCTAAAAATTTAACAATCAGCAAGCTGGTTTGAGTGAGAACTAGCACACTCTTAAAAGGAAGCATGGTGGAAGAATGGAAACAGCATCGTAGCAAGAAAGGCCCCGGATTTTAGCTAAGAGACCATAGGTGACCTACTGAAGTTTTCTGGCTTTAGAGGCAAGAGTAGGCAATCTCTTAAGAACCATCCTCTTCAGGCCAGGCACGGTGGCTCAAGCCTGTAATCCCAGCACTTTGGGAGGCCGAGGCAGGCGGATCACGAGGTCAGGAGATTGAGACCATCCTGGCTAACACAGTGAAACCCCATCTCTACTAAAAATACAAAAAAATTAGCCAGGCGTGGTGGCAGGCACCTGTAGTCCCAGCTACTCAGGAGGCTGACACAGGAGAGTGGCGTGAAGCCGGGAGGCGGAGCTTGCAGTGAGCCGAGATTGCGCCACTGCACTCCAGCCTGGGCGACAGAGAGAGACTCCGTCTCAAAAAAGAAAGAAAGAAAGAAAGAACAATCCTCTTCAAGGATTCTGTGATTTTCACAATCTTCCAATACCACCTCAAATAACTGGATTCTGTTGCCCTTTGCACTTACAGTTTTCTTTCTGCTCAAACACAAATGAAATGAACTAATAATAATTTTTCAATAACAATAACAGGTAACATTTATTGAGGATGTACCAGTGCCAGGAATCTTAACTTATTAAATCTGCACAACTCTATGAGATTGATGCTATGATTATAACCATTTCAACAATGAGTACATGAATGCAGAGAGAAGTTAAATAAATTACTAAAGGTCTCACACCCTGGCCTCTGTGCACTTAATCATGGCACTGTAAATAAATAAACCATAACATTTTCATTATGTAGGGGACATTTTTAGGACTATATAGAGTTATGATTTCTAAAGGAAAATCTGACGAAATAAGAAGTGTGTATCAGGGAGTAGATAAGCCAAAGAAATTTCCTTAATGTTTCCAGGGTAGATTTTTTTTAAGTGGCTCAAATTTTAAAAGTTTTGTGACCATGATTCATGGCCACTTCCTTTGCTATCTAATATCTGCAGTAGTTCCTGACCAAGGAAAGAATTCTTTATTAATTTTGAAAAATACTCCCGTACTATACAATGAGAAGGATAGCAGCATTCAGTAACACAAATTTCCATAAACAAATTAGATATTCCATTACCCCCCAATAAAATCTTATAAGAAACCACCAATTATTGTGAGAATTATCTTCATTTTAACCATCTGGTCCTTCTGAACAGAAAGAGTGTTTGTACATGAGCCTGAGACATAAGACAGAGAACTGTTGTTATCTTGATACATTGCAACATGTGAAAATAATTGCTTTTAGTGTGGCTAATACTCGTATCACACACAATACAACTGTAGGGCAAAATTCTTGTCTGTGTTCCATATAAATAATTTGACTCCAACATTCAACTCTCCTTATATGTACAAGGCTGACTAGACATTCTAAGACTGACTTAATTCTCCATAAAATTTCCCAAACTAACTCAATGATGAAAACCCATACACAAGAAGAATGGGGAGTTAGTGTGACCATTTCCATAACACACATGAACATGTGATTTGACTTTTTTAAAAAGGTAAAGTGTATGTATCCTGTGTGCTGCTTATTCTCTGCCTCTCACAATTATTTCTCACCCTCCACTGCCCTGTTCTGCACCCAGAAGGGTGACTTCTATAATTTTAAGCCCCCAGGCCCCTTTGCACTCTGGCTTCAGGTTGGTTTGGGCCAATAGGAGAAACTGGCAGGAGTTTGAAACATTAAGAAATGGAACAAGGATTTTACATTGCCACCAATATTCTAAGGCCATGGATCCTGCCATGCAGTCCCTCTTACCCTTCCACTCCCTGGCCCTTTCAGGCCCATGGTAACAGCATGTGCCCATCATCCCTCTTGGTTCCCTTAATTTTGACTACACCTCTATAAACAGGGCCTTTGTTAAACTCACTTTGGCTACACACTTATCCTGGGCCTTCTATCCCCTACCAGGACATTCACTGAAACATCATTCTCCAAATAAGTTAAATACAGATATCAAAAATGTTCTAAATGTTATATATTATTTGTTACATATGGTAACTTGTCATATATATATGTGTAGCTATATATTTTCCCCTCTCCATATTCCTTTAAACAGAGAGTAAGTCCTTATTTATTCGATTCAGGTAAAACTGAATTAAAGCAACTTTTCAGGCAACACACCTGTTGCATACATTGAAGTATCCTGGAAATGCAGTTTGCAGTTTAATGCTGAAGAAAATACCTGTTTAAAGATGCATCTTGATCTGTAATCAAGGTTTTGACTATTAAATATTGAAAGCAGGCAGAGTTCAGAAGAAAATACAATCCATTCTATTCCAAGTTATAGGAAGCTGATTACACAGTTTTGCATTAACATGTCAAAGAGTTCTATTTTGTTGCCCTTTCCATCTTACATCTTTGTAGGTTCCTTTCCAGTAAAACACTGACAAAATGAGTTAATAATTATCAATAACAATAATATTAGCTAACATTTATTGAGCCAAATATTGCACAGGGCACATGTATACTAAAAATGATATGTTGTTTATCAGAAATTCAAATTTAGGTGTCCTGCTTTTTAAAATTTTGTTTTGTTTTGTTTTGCTAAATAAGGCAACCCTATACATGTGTGAATGTCTACCAGATTGAGCAACATAGATGTACAACATTTTCATTATTGCAGAAAATTCTATTGGAGAGCTCTGTTTTATCATATCATGAGCTCAGTTTATATTAGTGCTTGGTGTTAATAAAAAAAAATGCCATGTATCATCATCTCACTATCTAAGGAGCAACACATTTTGACAAAAACAGACATTTGTGTAGTTAAAATCCTGAAAAATTACATTTATTTTATTTACTTTGGAGATGAAATAGAGACTGACTTCTGACCACCAGCTTTCAAATGAACACTTTAGGGAACTAGATAGTCATTTTCCCAATAATTAACCCTTTGAGACAGTCTTCCTTTGAATACCCCATAATGACATTCTTTAAAAAAAAGAATTACATTTATTGCAAAATGTAATCTCCATGCAGAAATATGCTTAATATATATTTGTACAGTTTCTAAAATAACCATAAGGCTTGACATTCCTTTGTGATATGTGTTACAGACTGGTTGCTCTCATGGGATCATTCAGAGTTCGTCTCTTGTAATTTTCTAGGTCTGGCCAGAAATATTTTGTTTTTATGTTTAAACACCCCATCAGTCAGCACCTGGTAAATATATAGCTGGAATCCTCAGTAAATTACTTAGAAACTAAAGGAATAGATTGTATTTAAAAAGGTATAAAGAAAATTGACCTCTGTTTCTCTAATAAAAGTGGGAGAGGCAGGACCCTTCCATCCCAATCAGTGTCATTAATTGGTTATTGGAGCAAATGAATGATTCTTTCTACCTGTTCTCCTCCAAGTTTAGGAGGAACTAATCTGGTCAATTAACCTTTGGCATCACGGGTTTGAAGCAATTTGGAAGAGGGCTAGTTTTTTGTGTTTTTTTTTCCCCTGGGCTATTCTTTTGTCCCCTGTCCCCTGTGCTTTAAGAGGAAACTCGATTCAAGACATTTCAACAAATCCAGAAGGAAAAATCCTGATTCCCCTAATGCTTGAGAAGTGAGACTCACAAGCAGGCAACGGGCCTTTATTTCTGGAGGGAGACAGCTGGAGCAAGCTCTCTCTGCGGGGCTAAGAGCATCTTGCTCTTTATTCGGTTTCTCTGATGAGGCCTTTAGTTGGGCATCAGTTTACCCATTGGTAAATGGAGTTGAATAATATATACTTACCACTCCATAGTAAATGAATATTGAAGATCTTTGGCTAAAGAGGGCTATGAATATGTAAAAGCTCTGTGAATACAAATCAAGAATTCATGACTTAGTAAAAGCTCAATATGTTGATAAATCTTGAATTTTTGCAAATGCTGAGATGTTTCACTTTTATTCAGAATATATAATAGTTAGGGATTGAAGTTTAGCCAGAGAGGCTTTATGCAAAGGACACATATGTAACTATGTACAGTAAAAAGCTGTACATCTGGCATGTTGGGGGAGACTGGAGGCACCAATCAGTCAAAAGTTCTGACTAACAATTTTTCATTGCTTCTGGTAGTTCTCTTGTTTCTTGTCTTGGGCTCTGTATTAAAGCCTAGATGTGTTGGGGTGGGGGGTAGTGGGGAGATGGTAATTTTACTCAGGGAAAGCTATGTTTGGCCAAAGTTCACTGAAGCAGCCATGTAGCTCAGCCCTACCCACATGCAAGGCTCCAAGTAGCCACAGAGAGCTCCATGCTCACAAATCATGAGATCCTTAGGTGTGGCATTGTGACATCAGAGGAGCAGATGCTGAAATGGGAGATGTACATGCAAATGAACTTGTGCACAAGTGTGGGCCGAGCCTCTCCTTGCCCGTTCTGCGCTTTGGTACTAATCAGAAAAAAAGGTCACTTCCTCTGGGTAAAAACAGACCCTATACCAGAGCTGCCACTTTTCTCTTTACCTAGATACCCATGCTGTGAACAATCTACATAATCAGATGATGTGGTCCCAAATATGAACTTGGGGAAATCTTTGATTTCTCCAGAAGGATGTATTTGTCTGTGTGAAGAAATTGTATTCAGTTTAATTTTTAATGACTTGCTACTAAAATTCCTATACTCTCCAAATGTAGCTTTCTGGGTAATTTGAGGTTGTCACCTTTTTCTCATTTAGAAGTACAGGATTAATTCAGTAGTTATGAGTAGACATCAGAGATGATGCTGAGCCTCCTACTGGCCAGGGCAAGAAAGGGAAACTCAAGAAATTCAGTTGTTCTCACTATCAGATAAAGAAAGTAGCATACCCAAATTCCACTGGGGAAACAATGATCATCTTTTTTACTTTAAAATCAAAAGGAAATTTCTTGTATGAAATTTCACCTGGGAGCCACTGAGGCATCATAGACAACCATTGCATCAATAGTTTATAGTAAATGTAATGGCAATACATGGCAGCACTTTCCTGCAAAATCCTTTAGAAAAAGCAAAGCCCAATTGAGCTAATTCTGAGAAGGCCGAGCAAATTTGGGGATCTTTTGGTGCCTGACTTAAAGGACAGAACTTCTGGGAAAGTAAATACTCAGCCTAGTCCTCAGACTGGCAGTTTCTAGATGTCATCTGCAGTCAGCTTCTAGGTGGTGACAGAGTTTTTTCTGCTCCCCAGAAAAAGGAGGGGAAAAAAGGGTAAGACATACATATTTCACAGCAAATTGGTTCACTTTCCTCACTTGAATAGGATTATGCTTTATTTTGTTGTATTTTTTTAAAGACAGGGCCTTGCTTGGTCACCCAGGCTGGAGTCCAGTGGCACAATCATAGCTCATGGTAACTTTGAACTCCTGGTCTCAAGCAATCCTCCCAGATTCAGCCTCCCCAAGGTGCTGGGATTCCTTACAGGCATGAACCACCCTGCCCAGCCCAACTATAGTTTATTTTAAGATGATGTCCTTCCAACTTTGGGAGGAGTTAAAAGTGCTTTGTTTGATGTGATAATGGTAGAAAATATGGTAGTTTTATATTTTGTATTGCTTGTTGAGTGTCTTTATTTGCCAGTATGAACTTGACAAGTCCTTATTGGCCCCCAAGCCTGAGGAGTGGCTATTACTGGTCCAAGAAGTCCCAAAATCTGGTAATGACAGCCATGGACTATATTCCCAAAATAGCATTTCACAAAGTAATAGAGGTAAGTGTCATACTTGCAGATGGGACCTTGGCAGGAGTACCCTTATCCTATTAGGGTGCTGAAGATGCCAAGGCCTCCCCAATATTCCCAGTACAGTAAGCTTCCTGAATGCCACCAGAATGGGTCTCAAGGATATCTGCATGAATCAACTTCAGGTGTGCAAGCTTGCAGATATATACTGGTTAAAACCCCATTGTTCTACTATCTGAGTGCAGAGGTTTTCAAAGCAATGTTATGTGTAAACTGTCTGTGATGTAAACAAGTTTCACTTAAGGCTTGACAATCTTTCTGATATTAAACACCCCAACTTGATGCTGGTCCATGGTGGAATTAGTTACAAAATGTATTCTCCCACATAATCTAATGAGTTGGTCTGCCATCTGGAAATATTTAGTAGTGTCCAACTGAATATAGAAGAATGATTGATGGAGGTGATTTACCCTTGATCAAGTTCATACTGAGTCACTCTTACAGTCACTCTTAGTCAAATAAGACTAAGTATTATTTGATGCTACTTCTAGTTTCTCCTGGTAAAAGCAGGCATCAGTACCTCAGAGGACACTTACTTCCCCATCCACGGTGGATCGACATTATTTCACCTTGGATTTTAGAATTTTTTGGTTTACAAATTACCTACCTACTGATATTTTTCTCAAAGGCAAATACCATGACTTCGACGAACAGTCTCATATTTTTAAAAAATGAATGCTTTGTACCAGGAATCATCCTTGGTAATGGGAATACAAAGATATTGCAGGAAAACTATCATTTAATAGGCAGGCACTCTGCTTTATATGGGCACACACACACACACACACACACACACATTGCAAGGGAGGTATTATTTTCCTTTTGTATATATATACATATATAGCTCCAAATTACCGAAAACTAGGAAGTAGAGTAGATCTATTTCTAGATAGATACCAGCCCTTTCTGATTTCAAAGCAACACTATGTTGTTCTAATAAGGCATAGTATCTTTCCTCAAAGAGTTCGAAGTCTAGTGCATTTGGCATACTTTTTGGGCCCTGAGCACCTCTGTCTGTTTTTTCTATGTTTAGAGAATTTCCTACCTATGAGTCCAAGACAGAAGACAGAAACGCACTTTCCCAGCCTTCCTTACATATGACTTAGGCTCCTTCAATCAGGACTTTTATTTGGAAGGGAATGGAAAAAAAAATGCACCATGTGAATTCCATTTCACTAAGGGCAGTGGCAGAGCCATCCGGGTTTCAGAGGCAGCAGGGGCAGAGGTTTTGAGATGGCATTCAGTGCCCAGGAGCGTGGGACCAAGATCTGGTGCTTGTGCTCCGTGCTGCAGCAGCTGTCTCCCCTGGAGTCATCTTAGATATAGATCCTAATGTCTAACCCAGATTTTCTGACTTACCTGGAAATTCTCTGGGCCTTCTAATAACTTTTAGTAAATTTTTTTTTCTGCTTAACTAGTTAAATTTAGTTCTATTGTTGTCAACTAAAGGTCGTGACTTTATTTCCCTCACAATGGCTTCAATATAATAGACATTTCATAAATCTACTTTGTTGGTTGACAAATGAAAAAAATGATTTAACAGAATAAATTAATAGAAGATAAACTTTCTAGGCTCTTATACATCCTTGTCACCCTCTGTTTTTTGAATATATCTCAATTTATCAACATCCTTCCAAAATATGTCATCCAGAACTAAAAACAATGTTGCAATGTGGCCTGATTAGTATTGAAGAGTATAGGGTGATCACCTTTCTTGGTTTAAGCTGTATATCTCTATTCATGCAGTCTGAAATGACATAAGCATAAGCTCTCTTAGTAGCTGTATCACATGATTAAGAAAGAAAGCCTGAGAACTTATAGGATTTAGTAATCAATATTCAGTATGAGCCTAAATATGTGAGGTGGTTACTAGAAGAGTCAATTCAGCTTTAGATGGCGCCAATAACAGGGGAAAAGAGAACTAACCAAAAGCAGAATGGGCTGAGTTCCAAACTCATAAGTTCCTAGTCATGAAAGAACAAAGACTGCATGGCCTCCAGCCAAGGATGCCTGAAAAGGAATTTCTGCTTTGAATAAGAGGATGTGCAGGATAATAAAGCCCATGGTTCTGTGATTCTGTCTTCCAAGACAACACAGAATCACAGACTATGAATTACCTGAATGTGGGGCTTACAAATGTCAGTTGTGGAGGTTCTTGAGGTCAAGGCACTTGTAACTCAAATACCTTGATTATGCATTACAGAAATATTCAGATGAAGTTTATCCCTATAAGGCAATTTAAATATTTAATCCTGGCTGAAGTTGGGAAAATTTCAAAATCCAACAAAGAGAAACTGCTATGAAATGTACCCCATTCATCAAATATTTGTTAAAAGGGAGGGAAGAGCTTTGTGCCCTATTGGTGTTTTCAATGGGGTGAGGAAGCTGACAATAAATAAAAACATGAAACATAAGTAAATTATAGAGTATGTCAGAAGCTATGAAAAAGAAAATGCAGGACAGAATAAAAAGAATCCAGAAGGCAGGTGAGTTTGCAATTTTACATGAGTGATCAGCCTAGTTCTCATTGAGAAGATGATTTTTGGGCAGACTGGAGGGAATTGAAGAAGCCAGCCATGGGGCTGTCTGGGAAAAGAGCTTTCCTGGCAGAGAGAAGAGCTAGAACAAAGGCCTGAGGCAAGAGTGGGCCTAGTGTATTCCAGGGACAGCAGGGAGCCAGTGTATCTGGAGCCCAGTAAACAGAGGAGAGAGAATTAAGGAGAGGAGGTCAGAGAAGGGTCAGATCATGTAGGGCCTTGCAGGTCATTGTAAGGACATTGATTTAATCCTGAAGAGGTGACAGGGTCAAGCAGGAGACTTGTGTGGGGGCTGTTGCTACACTCCAGGTAAACAGTGATGGTGGCTGTGATCAAGCTGGTAGTAATGGTGGCGGTGAGAGGTTGTGAGATTGTGAATATATTTAAAAGGAAAGCTAACAGGACTTTGTTGTGGGAAGTCAAGGACCCCGAACGGAGGGACCAGCTGGAGCCGCGGCAGAGGAACATAAATTGTGAAGATTTCATTTTAATATGGACATATATCAGTTCCCAATTAATACTTTTATAATTTCTTATGCCTGTCTTTACTTCAGTCTCTGAACATAAATTGTGAAGATTTCATTTTAATATGGACATCTATCAGTTCCCAAAATTAATACTTTTATAATTTCTTATGCCTGTCTTACTTTAATCTCTTAATCCTGTTATCTTCCTAAGCTGAGGATGTACGTCACCTTAGGACCACTATTGTGTTAACCATACAAATTGATTGTAAAACATGTGTGTTCGAACAATATGAAATCAGTGCACCTTGAAAAAGAACAGAATAACAGTGATTTTAGGGAAGAAGGGAAGACAACCATAAGGTCTGACTGCCTGCGGGGTCAGGCAGAATAGAGCCATATTTTTCTTCTTGCAGAGAGCCTATAAACAGACATGCAAGTAGGAGAGATATCACTAAATTCTTTTCCTAGCAAGGAATATTAAGACCCTAGGAAAAGAATTGCATTCCTCGGGGGAGGTCTATAAATGGCCACTCTGGGAGTGTCTGTCTTATGCGATTGAGATAAGGACTGAAATACGCCCTGGTCTCCTGCAGTACCCTCAGGCTTACTAGGATTGGGAAACCCCAGCCCTGGTAAATTTGAGGTCACACACGTTCTCTGCTCTCGAACCCTGTTTTCTGTTGTTTAAGATGTTTATCAAGACAATATGTGCACCGCTGAACATAGACCCCTATCAGGAGTTTCTGGTTTTGCCCTGGTCCTGTTTCCTCAGGAGCATGTGATCTTTGTTCTCCTTTTTGCCCCTTGAAGCATGTGATCTTTGTGACCTACTCCCTGTTCGTACACCACCCCCCGCTTTTGAAATCCCTAATAAAAACTTGCTGGCTTTGCAGCTCAAGTAGGCATCACAGACCTACCGATATGTGATGTCACCCCCAGAGGCCCAGCTGTAAAATTCCTCTCTTTGTACTCTTTCTCTTTATTTCTCAGCCGGCCGACACTTATGGAAAATAGAAAGAACCTATATTGAAATATTGGGGGTGGGTTCCCCCAATAGGACTTTCCTGACAGATTAAATGCCATTGTGTTAAAGAAAAAAAATAAAGGGCAAATCCAAGGCTTTAGGCCTAAGCCACTGGAAAGCTGGAGTTGCCAACAGGTGGGAGGAACAGTTCAGGGAAGAAGAGGAGGTTGTCTGGGGCCATGTGAAGCATGCCAGGCATGTGGAGGAGTTGAATCGGCAGTGGAACCTACTGGTTTGGAGATGTAGGAAAGGTCTAGGCTACAGACAGAAATTGTAGTGTGGTCAGCATTTGGATGCATTTAGTGTCATGATGCTGGATGAGGAAGGAGAGTAGATTTGGGAAAAGGAGGATGAAGGGAAGAACCCTGGATCGTCTTGGGCATAAAGGCTTGGAGAGAAGAGAATCAGCAAAATACATTAAAAAAGAACAAGAATGAGGCAGCAGAAAAACAAGCAAGTGTGGTGTCATTAATGTTTAAATATCTAATTTTGAAGACCTCAGAAGGCTACTAAAACACCTCATTCATTTTGTTTGCAATTAAGAAAGAAAATTATATTATAGCTCTTGCCAGGAAGAAGGAACAGGAGGAAGGGAGAGATGGAGAGAAAGGGACTGTAATGAAAGAGAATCAAAGAAAAAGTGGGAGAAGGAGAAAAGGAGAAAGTGTAGCATAACAGCCCTTTATCCTTAAAGATTTTAAATCACACAAAAAAATTTAAATGTAAGACTTAATCCTACTCTGAAACTCATCTGAACTATTTTTAAGTCCTCTGTAACATTTGATTATATCCTGCTTTTTTTCTCCCTGAGAAAGAGGGAGGAAGGGAAGGAAGGAATTACGCTAGATGCTTCCACATAGTTATTTTGTTTAATTATGACAACCTTGAAATATATAAGTCATTAGCCCTATTTTATACTTTTGTTTGTTTTGGAAGAGACAGGGTCTCACTATGTTGCCCAGGCTGGTCTTGAACTCCTGGCCTCAAGTGATCCTCTTGCCTTGGCCTCCCAAACTGCTGGGATTATAGGTGTGAGCCACTGTTCCTGGGCCTGTTTTATGGATGCAGAAACTAGGGATTGAAAAGTAACTTTTTCAAGCTGCAATATTAGTAAAAAATAGAAACTAGAACAACTCATTGCCTCCACACAATCAACTAGAAACAAATTAAAGTTGTAAAGATTTTATTTTTTCCTTACCTTTTCCTTAAGGGTAGATTCCTAGGATTGCTCAGTTCAAAGTTGACACTGAGTCTCCCCTGATTCCCTCAACCTGTGTTATTTTGTGTTTACATGGGATTATGCTTGTTAATGGATAGTGAATAAATTATAGTTATCTCTTTAATTAATCATTGCTCTGCACTATTTATTACATGGCTAATGGAATATTTTTGTAATTATTTCCCCATATGTGAAGGTAACACTTTAAGCCTTTTTAAATGTCACCAAAGAAGCTACTTCTAGATTCTTTGGGACAGTTGTACTAGCAGATCATGGTGTTTTCTAAAAATAAGCTTTCCCTCAGAACAAAACTCAATCAGAAATGTCATACTTGAACAAGATTATGAAAAAGTGTGTTAAGAGATGTCAAATCATCATGACATATAAACCATGCTGGTCAGCGAATTAATGCTCAGTTTATACATTCTTTCTAGGACATTCTAGGATACAAAAAGAGAGGTGGTGTGATACTGGGGAGAAAATGCAGACCTTGCTTTAGAACCTGGCTCTATTATTTCCCAGCAATACTGAATTTGCAGGATTCCAAATCACCTCCCTTCATTGCACCCTTCATTCATTGTTCCTGTCTCCGACTCAATATGCCAGTCCTAGACATGCTCATTCAGAAGACACATTGTCATACCTATCCCCACACAGCCCCATGTCTCCTCCACCTGCCTACCCACCCCTGTTCTCTGCATGGCCAAATGCAAAGACCTCAGGCCTTGCTGTTCTCTTTAAAGAATCACACCCATCCCCAAACTTGCTGAGCTATTGCCCAAATCTCTCTTAATTACTTTTGATGTAGTCCCCTAGAATTTATCCTTCTCCACTCACTTTGAAAAGATGGGTGGAAGGTAGAAATAAAGCAAAATGTACCCAATTCATAAATGTCCACTTTTCCATGGTAAGCATTTCAGACACAAATTAATGTATTTAACTTCACTCTCAGGGATCCTTGAAGTGGCATTCTTTGGGGTGATAGAAAACAAAAATCTTATATACTAATCAATTTAAATGTATCCAGAACTGCTTTGATTCTGCATTACAAATCAAGGCCACTAATGGTGTTCAATAAATATATTTGCTGAATAGATTGAGTTGGTCATGCATTCTTGTGGTCGTACCACAAGCCTTAATTAAATATGTCTGTAATAACTATATAAAAGCTTAAATGTTGCTTTATTTCATCAGGACCTCTGAAAGTTAATAAATACAATTAATCAAAGTTAGATCACTACTTGGCACTTTCTGATGACAAACGTAATATTTTCATAAACTTTACCACTTTCAAAGCATCTTATGCCACTGGATTCTCCATAACCCTGTGAGCGTCACTATGCCCAATTTTTAGTTGAGGAACATTAGGCTCAAAGTCGTAATTTGCCCAACATTACACAGCCAGGGAATGGTGGAGCCACCATCAGAACTCAGATATTCTGGATCCCAATTCCCTTCGAAGTTTAGGGCTTTTCCTTATTAATATCATCTGCCACGTTCACCCACCACAGTCCGTAACATAAACCCAGAAGATGTGAAATAACCTCACGAAAGCTGCCTTCAAACACTGCTCTATTATTTTTAATGAGTGGTACAGACAAGTGCCATGAATTTGGAAGAGAAAATAACTGTTACCTGTGAGTTATAATGGTCTTAAAGGCAGATCATTTTAGGAATAGGTTTGGCTTTTTCTGCTTCATTTTACAAGTCTATTAAGAACATGAGAGTTTGGAAAAAATTTGAATGAACATCCTTAACTTCTGCCAATATTTGTTATCCTGTTCCATCATTTTTTATCAATTTCCCAACTTTTACAATTTGGAAAGATCTAGAAATCAAAAAAGATTACATAAACCCTAAAGTGTGTGTCTTGAATAATTGACTAGACATAGATGAAAAATAGCCATAAACCCACTTTGAGACCTTGTGTTAGGCACAGCCTCCTTTCCCCTGTTAACTGAGGATAATAGTATTTGTGAGGAGTCGCTGTGAGAGCGTAAAGCAACAACTAGCCTGGGAGAGTTCTGCCAGTGTCAGGTTCCTTTCTCCTGCTCCTCTGCTCGCTCTCCCACAGTGTGTCTTCTTTTCTGACTCTATGTCTTTGAATGCACTGTTTTTTCACATATTTAATACACAATCATTCAATCAACATTTTTGAGTGCACTCTTCTAGCTGAGGAGCTCCATGTCTGGGATTCAGCTGTAGGTCTCAAGGGTTCATGGGAAATAAACATTTAGCACAGTAACCACAACATGCTACAAACTCTGTGCAGTGGAATACCCTGGAAGCGGCATGAGCATGGAAGAATTTGTATCACACTGGCAAAGCAGATGGGGAAGGGCTTCCTGGAAGAAGTGCTGCTTGGACTGATCCTTAAAGTTAGCCAGGAATGAACTTGAACTCAGGAGAAGGAACAGATGTAAGGTGCAGGAAGTAGCAGCAGGGCAAATGTGCCTCTTCACTTATCCTTCTCTTATCTACTATTTTCAACATTCTTCTTAATACCGTCTATGGCAGAGGCTGTTAGCTGCCTACCAAATATCCACTCTCCCCCTTTCTCTGGAATTCACGGAACAGCTAGAAGCATTTACTAGTCTCCCTTGCATTCAAGTATAGGGCTTGAAGAAAGAGAATATCGTCGCTCCTTTGTATCTGTGGATTCAACTAACTGCAAATCAAAAATATTTGTTTTTAAAAATGAATGGTTGTGTCTATACTGAACATGTACAGACTTTTTTTTGTCATTCTTCCCTAAACAATACAACTATTAACATAGCACTTACATTATACTAATTGTATTACTATGTATTCTAATAGTATTAGATATTATAAATAATCTAAAGATGATTTAAAATATGAGAGGATATGCAAAGGTTATATGCAAATACTATGCACTGTTATATAAGGCACTTGAGCATTAGTGAATTTTGGTATCCATGGGTTGGGGATGTGTGTGTGGGGGCGTCCTGGAACCGATCCCCTACAGTACCAAGGGAAGACTGTGTGTCATTCTTTACTCATTTGTTCCTCCTGGGGCCTGGAAGTTAGGTGTGAGAGCAAGAGCTCTAGCGATCATCCTGGACTATGAAGAGGGAACACAGGAATGAACACAGGAAAAAATGGAGCTGTGAGCTGGAAAAAGTGTGAGTCTCTGACTTCATGAAGCCAGCTTATCTCAGCAATTTCTTTCATGTAAGAAACACTTGTTGGGTCATAATTATTTTGTGCTTTTTTTTTTCTATTGTATGCAGCTAAACCTAATCATAAATGTTCCACCTTCTAAGACCATTCTAGCTTATAAGCAATAATTGTTTAATTCATAGCATGTGTTTGTACCACCCATTAAACAAATACATTTCTGTCTGAAGACAACTTTTGTGTGATTATTTCATTTTTCCTGGATTTATATTTTGCCTTTCTAACAAGTTATAAGCTTCCTGAGGAGAAAGCACAAAGTCGTACATTCTTTGTCACCGCAATTTCTAGCAAATTGTCCGGCATAGAGTACATGTTTAATAAATGTTTACTGTCTGATTACAGCATGATTGTCCTTTAGAAAGAATGTGGGGAATTTAAAGTCTTTATTTGAGACTCTTCACAAAGGGAAATAACAGTGTAAAGAAACATATGTCCTCTAGACACACACACACACGACAAAACTCAACCCATGAAGTGATCGCTCTGAGATGCTATGACTTTACTTGAGAAATTCCTACTTTGCTTTCTTGAAAATAGAAGTCACTAGCAGAGAGACACCTTCTAGGCACACCAATTCATGTGTGTGTAGAGCCTCCCACTGATGAAGTTTGACCCCTAAAACACAATCTCATGAATGTGGAAGCTGCTTGTGCTAAAAGTCATTATTTCACAAATGCTTTTCTTCTTTGTCTTTAGTCTAAATGCAGAGTTCATTTACATTTGCATAAATAACGTTTCACCCTGTGTTGAGCCTCTAGCTGTTTTTAAAAACCTTCAGCACCCTGAAGCTGTCTGCCTTTCTGCAAACACTCGGTTTTCACAAATTATCATTAAAACATATCTACATGGTTCATGGGCTGTTAAAAAAGGTAAGGGAAACCGAGGAAGAAAGAGAAGTTACATCTGTATGTCAATCAAATGCAGAAAAATGGAAAAAAAAATAAACAGGAAAAACATTTACAATATCAAAAGAAAACAAAATCACTTTTTAATTTACTTTTTCTTTGCCAGTTCTGAAGCGAAGCACTTGCTCTTTCCTTATTAACATTAGTCTTTTGAGCAGTTTTTTCCATTGTAAGTACTTTCTAAAAAATCATTTTCACACATTTCTCAGATACATCAATCCTTTCAGCATTCCTCCATGCACACATTATGGTACCCCAGCTCTAAATATAAAAGACTTTTATTATGTCCATTAACCATGGACATATGTGCTCCAAAAGTTTCCTGACACGCAGTCATTTGTGGTTTTTTAATTATAAACAGAAAATATTCACTAGAAAAATAAAACAGCAGCCTATAAATATATCTTTATACATTTGAGTTTTGTTTGTATATGACAAAAGATTGGATAAAGGAAGTGAGCATGCATGTGTTTATATACACACAGAGACACACATACATTCACATGTGCTATTAAATCCATGCACTGTACAGGACTCATATATCTGTAATTGCAGGTACCACTGTCTTGTTTCTAAAATAAGGGTACAAATTTTCCTAAGACTCACCAGGTCTCTCTCTGCATGAAAAATTAAGTGGGAAAGCAGATAATGCCCAGTAAAATAACTGACAAACAAAGTCATATTTATTGAATGCGTTTATTTTAACAACCAAAAAATTCTAACAGCCTAACAATGCACATAAGTTAAAAATTAATTATCACTTAGTGATAACAAAGATAGTTGATTTACATGGAAAAAAGAACATTTACAATATGTTAATCCTTATTCACATTGTTGATACCGCAATAAAACACAATTTGTTTTTTTCATTTCACAAAAAAAAAAAAAGGCGGGAAATTGTGCTTTGTCAAGAGGCACTACAAGAGAAAGTTTCTTCTTCCAAATAGATATTATATGACAGATATTGAATAAATAGACATATATGCATTGTAATTCGCAAAGATCTGGCAAGACCACAGGCTAAAATGCCCACAGATTCACTTAGAACCACTGCAAACTTGGCAGTGAAATTAAAAAATAAAAGGCAAGACTTAGCATTGAAAAATACCTAATAAATTTTTGGTTGAAGTGTAAAAGATACCAAATGCGGATGCCATCGATAGATGAACCACCTTGTAAGAGCTTGGCAAAATCAGTTTCCATTACGTGTACAGAGTGACCTTCAGCAACAGTGTAAGAAGACAATTTGGAAAGAGTAACTCGGAGATCAGGAAGCAGCAACCATGGACTTTCTGATTAAAGCTGCAGCATACTACAGAAATAGGAAGGATGGGGCCAGGGCTAACTGCAAACAACCATCCTTTTGCAAAGGTATATGACGCTTATGTCAAGATAATTTTTAAACATCATTATTTGAAAAAGTACAGGAAAATGTCCCTTTAAAAACTCCAGAGGTTACTGAGCAGCTAGAATTAGCTTGTATTGCAACATGTCTTCTCCCTGTATATTGTAAGTTCTGAGTTAATATCTACACATAGAGGTTTTTTTTTTAACTCCTACCTTTTATACCTTTCAAATATATAAATAGTATTAACAGTTATATTACAATGTTTGTGTAGTAAACAGAAAATAACTTTCAAAGTGATATTGCATGAGGTCTTTGACAAGGTTTTGTGAAAGCACAACTCAAAAAAAAAAAAAAAATCCAACCATGTGGGACTGTTTAATGGCCAGTTTAAAGCATGGATTACGTTCACTAGGCCAGTCCTGAATGTGAGGTCTCCTCTTGCAATTACTGTAAGTAGAAGTGGAAAGTAATGCTTCTGGTGTTTCTCATAGGAAGCCGAAAGAGATCTGGAGTACTATAGTAGATTGCAGCTTTAATGCTCATCCCATTAAACATCCAGTCAGCATTAGTTCTGCTTTACATAAGGTAATTGCGATGTAGGTAACTGGGATAATGTTTTCTTTTAGGATGAGTAAGTGATTCTACTGAAATCGCTTCACATACTCTATTGCCTGGAGCTGCACAACGATTCAAAAACAGTTCTTGTTAGGGCTGTCATCCCAGGAAAAGGGACAGGAGAGATCAGGGACTGAAAATGTTTGATTAGGTAGATGGAATGTGTACGAAGAAGAGGAAGCCCAAAGTGAAGCAGAAATCAGAAATGTCTTTTGGGAGAGGGAAGGATGGAGATTTATTTGAGAGGGAGCCCCTTTAACTGGGCAGCAACTTCTTTTCTAACTTAATATTACACTGAACTATTTTCTAGTAAAAAACAAAAAGACAAAAAAACAGCAACAACAAACAACTTTTAAACGAGCAGGCTTATTAATTTTCAGATTTGAAGCCACAAGCAGGTAAATAAATTTCACAACAAAATGTGGCTCATACTATGAATTCCATATGTCCAATGTCAAAATGTCATTTGATCAAGACTTGCACTAGTGGACAAAGTTTTCTCTGCACTGAATTTCAGTTTTACTTATTTGGAATTCCACAGAAATGCATCTGTTCACTACAGTAATGACAAATTGAATAACGGAACGTAGCAAGTCATTTTATTGAGTCATTTTAAGTGTGCATTGTGTCTTTAAGATTTATTTGACTTGTATCATTTTAATGTGCCCTGATTGTTTTCACTTCACTTTTTTTTTTTTCGGCAGTGTCGTTTATTTTGTTAAATACATACCTCAAAAATTACCCATTAAGCTGCCAGATAGGAAGCCATAGAATTAAAAAAAAAAAATCAGGGACAAACACAAAAAATAAATAGGAATTCAAAAATAGTCACCCCACCCTGAGAGCAGGCCGCAGTTTATCAAAAAGCCAAAGCGACTCACTGTGAAGTGGTTTTTTTAATACATAAACAAGTCTTTTCTTTAAGAACTCATTTCACAGTCTATTCTTTCGGATTGCAAAGTCTCTGTCCCATGCAATTTTAATATATATATGTAAATATAGAGATATATACATATACATATACACACACACTTGTAGCTTCCTTCATTTATTTCATAGTTCTTTTCATCCTGGTACTTGCCTGATGTAACTTCCGTTAAGTGCAAGGATAATGAAGGCAGAGTCTCCTGTGATTATAATGACTATGATCCAGTCATAGAGACGGGATAAAGTGTAACGCTTTAGTGTCTTTGCCAAGGCGATGTCTGATTCGGAAATACTGAACTTATTCAGTCTATAGGTGTATCCTGTGCAACAAAGAAATGTCCAAAAGGGTAAGAAAAACAAAACAGACATAAAAAGACAAAAATAAAGCCAAAAAAACCCAAAAACAAAAACAAAAAACAAACTAACAAAAAACTTTTAAAGAAATGAAAGCAGAAAATCCTTGGACCGATGTATTGCTTTGCCTAGTAGAAGTTCACATTATCTCTGGTCAATTTCGGCAGGTGCTGCCTTGCTTTTGTCAGCATTTTCCTCCTCAGCCTCCACTTTGTACATCTCCTCGGAGCCTTCCTCGCTGTCGTTCTCCTCTGACTCGGTCAGCAGCTCCTCGTCCTTATATTCAGCCACGTCCACCGCGGAGCCCAGGTGCTCTTTCAGCTTCCCGTGGTGCTTCACGTGGTACCGCTGGTTCTGGAAGAACTTGATGATGGTGTGTTTGGGGAGATCCAGCTGAGCCGAAAGAGTGTGGATGGCTTCCTGGTCTGGGTACAGGCCTACATCATGAATAAAGCTTTGGAGGATCCCCAGGGCTTCTAAGGAGATCTTTGTGCGAGACCGGGGCTTTTTGGCACAACTGTCTTCAGTCGGAGGAGGTGGGGGAGGCGCTTCTTCTCTGGGAGGGGAACTCTCCTTGGCTGGCTGAGACTGCTGTCTATGAAGTACCTGATAATTAAGAGAGAAAAAAATGAACACTGGACTCATGATTTTACCTTTCCAAAACCATCAGCCCTCTGAAATATGTGTTATCTATCTAGCACTGGAGGTAAGCTATAGTCATTTGTAAAGTCAGGTCTTTGGAAAGCTTAAAAGCATTTCTGGACATTTAGTATCTCACCTACAAAACAGGAGGTTCATAACAGTAGTATTTGCCATCATTTATATTCTGAGATGCAAAGTCAAGTCATTTATTGCCTAAGGTCATCTCACTTTAGGCAACCTGGCTTCAGAGTCTTCTATACCTGTAACCACCAAGATATGCCACCTCTCTGAAGGCTAACGACAAAGAAATTGGGCACAAAGGGGAAAGTATGGACTCTATCATCATGGCTTCAAGTTCATATTCTTCCACTTAGCTGAGTAACCCTGGGCAAATCACTTAATATCTTTCAGCCTCTATTTCATCATCCATAAAAGTAGGATAAGAAACCAACCTCCTAGAGATGTTGTAAGGATTAAATGACATAATTGTTACAAAAAACAGTGCTTGTCTTAAATCAGGGATTGGCAAACTTTGTCAGGAAAGGGCAAGATAGTAAATATTTGAGGCTCTGGAGGGTCGATCTTTGCCACAACTACTCAATTCTATTCTATTGCAAAAACAAATGAACATGGCTATGTTCCAATAAGACTAAATTTGGCCCATGAGTCATAGTTTGCCTCATCTCTGGCTTAGAGCAAACATCCAATAAATGACAGTAATTATTATCAGCTTCATAATGACTCTTACAGTGTTATAGAGGAATAATTGGTACTTAAGCCAGAAAATCAATCCTTTGTAAAATTAGAAATGACTTTATATTCTTTTAGTTCTAGTTTTGAGTCTTTTGATTTTAAATGTATTTTTTAGAATGAGAAAATATTCAAACTAATTTAAAGACATAACTGTTTCTTAAATTATGAATTTAAACGACCATTTTATACTTAACATAGATAGACCTTCTCAAAATCACTATAAACTAATTAATCCTCTGTTTTGCATATACTTTGTAATTTCTGGGTTTTTTTTCTCCTAATGTTAAAGTTTTCTAGTTGTAATTTAAATAATTTTTCTTTTATTTCTACCTATTCCCCACTCATTTAATAAAAAAGCAAAATCTTAGGTAAGCTTACTCAAAGGAACTCAGTCCCGGCTCTCCCCACAGGCCTATGTGAGAAGGACTTTGTGGAGGGGGAGATGGAACATGAAGTCCTGATGAGGAACTGCAGCCATCGCCCACACCTTACAGCTTCAGCTGGATGACAGAATTACAAGGTTACTGTGCTCTTCCCCACTAAAATGTGTCATGTTGGCTCCAAAGGCAAAGACCACATTTCCTATACTTAGGTCAGTGCCTAACTTCCTAAATCCTCCCAAAACTTTTAAGAAGAGTGAGTTCACTTTTTAAAAAACACAATTCTCCTTTTACTATTCTCTCATATTTTATGGATCTTTTTCATTTTAGAATAACAAATTAAACATTTTCCAGAGTTCAGGAGGAATAAATCCAACCAATGCAAAGAAAACACGTCTAGTTACATTAAAGGACCATTCACACTACCATCCCTGCCACCTTTCCTGCCACCACCACACACTACCCATATGATCCATGTCTTTTAGCTATGAAACATCAGCATCAAAGCAAGCATTTAAGAAAAAAAAAAATCTGTCATTCATCCTGGTCTTGAAGGCCATATGATGAAAAAATACTTTCCCACCAATGTGAAACTGTCAGTCTTTTATGTAGAACTTAACAAATATTAGGGCGGATGAAACTGTTACCTAAATAAGGTAGCAATAAACAAAAGAAGTTTAAATTTTTCAAGTAATAATCAATAATCAAATAATAATAAAAAGGATAATCAGAAGCAAATAAGACTATCTGCTATAATAAGCTGACGGCTAGTGGCAGAAAGAAATCCTAAGCACAGGACTATAAAACAGTGGCACTAAAGTCTGCATAATGTTGACCAATTAAAATGAATGTTCTTAGCATTTTCCTTACCACTTTCAACTAAGAGTAAACTCATGTGGTCTGTTGTGGTAAGCTGGCATCAGCAAAAAAAGTGAGAGCTCCGTTACTTTAGCATCCTAATTATACCCGGCAGGAAAAGCAGAGCTCCAGGGATGGGGGGTGGGGGGACTGGTGCTGGTCAGGTCCACTTTCATGGCAGAAGGATATTTGCTCTGAGGCCATGATCTGGGCAGTATGAGCACTGCAATAAGTAAACCTCTATGTCAACAGGTGAGGATTCCAATTTTGGGGGAGAGAGAGACTGAAATTATGTGCAAAGTATATACTGGAAGAACATAGACTCAAGCATGAGTACTCCCCATTAGAGCAATTGCGCTAATTGGAAAACAAAAGAGAATTAAAATGCCCCATTTTCTAAATTATGCTTGCCTTCTGTAGTAAAAGTCAGCATAACGGTTCCATTTAATTGAATAATTAGATTGGTTCTTCAGGGATTTTCCACTGTGCACTGGTTAGATTTAAAGAGATTTTCCAAAACTATACTTTGAAGTTACTATAATCTTTCTGCATGATTGCATTTGTTCTTCTCCTTAGGTCCAACCAACTAGCCTGCTTCACTCCCCTTTGTTTCCTAGAACTGAGCACTAGTAATACATATGTACAGAGAAGCCAAACATGAAACAGAGAAAGAACAGTAAGAATAGCTACCCCTCACTGAATGTTTATTCTGTGCCAGGCAGTTCTAAGAACTTCACATGGATTAATTAACTGAATCCTGACAAGTTCCTCACAAAGGTGCTATTTGGATTCAAGATTGAACTGGAAACATGTAGCATCTCCTCTTAATTCCAATTCGGAGGATTCTCCTCCGAATTGGAAATTACAAACATGGGGAGTTGTCAGTCTGATAAAGAAGGTTTCCAGGGGACAATGACAAGGCAACTGCCCATGACAGACTAGGAAGATGTTTCTCAAGAGAAGTAATAGTCAGAGAAATTATCTACAAAGTGAAATATATAGTTTCTGGTCAGACAATGTACCATAGTGGGTTGGGCACCATGATGACATCTACATGAAGATGGTTAAGTTATATCTTCTAGCATCTTCTAACAGGTAAGGAAAGAGCAGTCAAAACAGTGAATGTCCAAATGGGCATCTCTAAAGTGAAACTGTCTTACAAGTTAGCAAAGGAGCTGAGCTTTTTCTATTATACTGACACTTTTCTTTGGCTATAAGTCCCTTTCAACCGCAATATACATAATATCTGAGATTAAAAGATTCCCAAAGTTATCTGTCCTAACTATCTGTATTCCCCTAAAATGTTCTAATTACTCCAGGCAGAGAGTTACTGTCTCTAGACAATTCCTAGCAAAAGAACAACATAATTTGCTCTCTAGCCAATTGCTAAGAATCCTTCCTAATACCATGTAGTACTTTATTCTAGTGGTATACGTACTCTGAGTGAAAGGAGAGCAGTACCTAATGCCTATAAGATGGTCTTCTCTAGGCATGAAAACCAATCCAAATCCTCTTCTAAAATCCTCCCATCTAAAGGACAGAATCAAGTCATCTTTTCTTCACTTTCTCACATCTTGACTAAATAATGTCAACTCTTTTAGCCATTTCTTCACAGGAAAAGTTTCTGAACTCTCACTTAACTGATATTTCGATTTGGTGTTTTGTTTTGTTTTGTTTTTTGTCTGAATCTCTCAGAACATCTTCTAAATTCCCTGTTAGTGAACTAGAACGAATCAAATTTGGTCTCTGTCCCAAGCAAGTGCCCTGAGAGTCATGCCATTGATTGCTGATGGAGAGACCTATAAGCGGTTTCATTCCTAGGCTCATTTGACAGTTTGGGCATAATTTTTTTGTTAATTAATATTTTAAGTCACAAAATTCACAATTACTCCAACTAAGAGAATGCCCTGCAAAATGAATAAAATTCTCTTTCCAAACTAGTCCTTTATGCAGTCAGATTATAATTTTCTGAGATTTTCTTTATATTAATCGAGCATCTTTCCAACAATTTATGAAAAAGCTGGCAGGACCAAGGTCTTTCCAGCATTACCTTTTTCCCTTTTTTCAAAATGGGCCCAGTGGAGGGGCAAAAAAAAATCCCCATTGATAGTACCTACTAACGCCATGCATACAAACACTGTATAAAACCAGAAATGAATGCCTATGTCCTCTAAAACGCATGCTCATAGCAGTTTTAGTCATCACCAGAAACAACCCAAGTGTCTACCAATAATAAGATCGATAAATAAATTGTAGTATACTTATATAACCGAGCAGTAGGAAAAATGAACTATTGCTATATACACAAACATAGATAAAAACAGACTTACTGTCGAGTGAAAGAAGTCAGATATGAAAGACCAAAAACTGTATGATTCCACTTATGTGAAAGAATAGGAAAAACAAATTAATATAAAAGAGTAGAAAAAAATAGGAAAAGCCTGCATTGACAGATCCCAGCATAATGGGTTTCCACTGAGGTTTACTGAGTGGAAGCGGGTGGAAGATAGCCTTCTGGGATGTTGCAAATATTCTCTATATTGACCTGTGTGTTTGTTAAAAGGATGTGTGTATGTCTAAAAGATTATCAAACTGTACAATTAAAATCTGTGCATTTTACTGTATGCAAACTATAACATATTTCGATATAAAAGTTTAAAAAAATGGGCTTAGTAGTTGACCTTTATTTATCCCTAAGGCAAACACCTCTCTTCATGTGATTTTCCCAAATAATGGAATATTTAATTCTGTAAGGGTAACTATCCACTCCTTTTTACTCTTGATCTTTGCACACTGAAGCCTATCAACTCATCCTATTTCTTTTTTTGGTTTGGATTTTTCTCCATCAAAATTAAGGTTAATCTAGACAACAAATTCATTTCTGTAAAGAGAGTCCTAAATGGTTTATTTAAAAGCCTTTCTTTTTCATAGCTTCTGCTGTTGATTTTTCAGTATGACAGGCAAGGTTCACAGTAATGAAATATCTAAGTAGCTTTAATAACAATAATAATAGTAGTAATAGGTGCTACCATTCATATAAAGCTTACTCATGAGACACACATTGACCTAAATGCTATAAATATATTTTATGTTATTAATTTTCACAGTACTCTTAGAGGCAGGCATTTTTACCCCCACTTTATGATGGGAAAACTGGAGTTCCAAAAGTGTAGATAATTTGTTTAAGGTGCAGAGTTTGCAAGCAGCAGAACTGGGCTTGTCAAGCATATCTTATTCAAGCATATGTTAAAGCCCATGCCCTTAAACATTATGGTCTCCTGACTTCTATGAGTAAAATATAGAGAAAAATTGAACAAAGTCTTTAGAGTAGAGGAGATAGATCGTAAATAAAATATCAGCTAGTAATAAATACATAGAGCAATGCATAAGGAGGAAGATTGTGGGGAGGGGAAGTTATTTGAGATAAGGTGACTCAGAGAAGGCTCCCTACAGAGGCAGCATTGGAGCCCAGGCATGAAGATGTGAAGCCCAGCCATGTGGAAGAACATTCCAGATAACAGAAAGGCAAACAAAAAGGCTGCCAGGCAAGAATATACTTGGTACAATTGCAAAACCGCAAGAAAGTCAGCACGTTAGAGCTGTGCCGCCCAATACAGTAGCCACTAGCCACATGTGGGTATTTACATTTAAACTAATTAAACAAACAAACAAACGTTCACTCAGTCACATCAGCCACATTTTAAGTGCCCCATTGTGTCACTTGTGCGATGCCATGATGGATAGCACAATACAGAGCATTTCCCTTAGCACAGAAAGTACTGTTGGATAGTACCATGCTCCAGCAAAATGACACCTGAGAGAGCCACACGGCCAGAGCATGGAGTGCTTGGCATTCCACCATCAGGGTAATGGAAAGCCCTCACAATGAACTTCAATCATAAAATCTGAGATAGCCAAAAATATACTAAGACCTGAAAACTGCTACTATTACCAGAGAGATGGGAAAATATTTAAATAATTACTTAGTAAGAAAAATTCAGTTTGTAATATAGCACTGGATTTTTATCGGAGTATTACAAATAGCAACATTGTCATAAACACAGCCAGAAGTATGCACTGGCACTTCTACCCTCAAAAGAATGGTTAATTTACATTTAACTGATTGTTGTCTTCTTCATCAGAGGTGTTCATCATATCTAAAAGAAATGATATTAAAAACAGCCCTGGGTTAAAAGAATTTTTTAAAAAGTATATCCATATATCAAACATTTATGGAGTATCTACAATAATTGGACCTATTAATTTACACAGCTTTTTAATAAGAAGTCCTATTTCCAACAATTAAGGTCTGATGAATAAGTTATGGGTAGGAATAAACAAATAGAAAGTTAAAAGTCTAGTAAGTTTCTTATTTATTTGCTGTAATCTCTCTGGGCTGAAATGTGACACATATGTCTATAAATGGGCATGAAGATGGCAATGAAGAATGAGAAGTTGTAAATATACTCAAAAGAGACATTAACTGCAAATGAAACCCAAAGTTCCTTGCCCAGTCATAAAGCACAATTATAATATGGACACATGTTGTTTCTCTGCTTTCAAAATTTGAAAACAAAAAGACCTAATGGTACCATGACCAAAGTTGACTAAGAAAGATAAAGCAGCTCTTCTTAAAGCTCTCAGTGTTCAAATGGATTCTGAAGGCCTCAATGAAAACCAGCTGGGAGCCAAGTGTAAAATATAATGCTTTTTGCCTGTAGGGAAGGAAGTGAGATCTTGAATGATTAAGTTTAGGAAAGTATGTAATTCACTGTATCATTATGGGGTGAGCTGGATTACTTATAATATGCCAACACTTTGTGGTCTTCTTTTATAGAGAAAATGAGAAATTATTAAAGAGGTGACTGTATAAGGTGGTTGATCCAGTGTAGTAATAGGTTAAAACAGTTTCCCAGGTGGTCACGTCTGTCTCTCTATGACAAGCCTCACCCAAAGCTTCAGGTCCTGTAGGGTAAGGTATATTCATAGGAGATGAGAACACAAACAAAATGACTTTTATCCACGTTTATTTTGGGTTAATATTAGAATTATTTTGACTTGTTGTCCAATTTTACCTCATTTTTTAGAACAGAACATAAACTGTGATCCAAAAAAGGAAAGCATTATCCTACTAAAAGTTCCAAGAAAAATATACTTAAGGTCAGGCACGGTAGATGATGCCTATAATCCCAACACTTTGGGAGGCCAAGGCGGGCGGATCACTTGAGTTCAGGAGTTCAAGACCAGCCTGGACAACATGGTAAAACCCTGTCTCTACTAAAAATACAAAAATTAGCCAGGCGTGGTGGCACGCGCCTGTAATCCCAGCTACTTGGGTGTTGCGGGAAGTCAGGGACCCCAAACGGAGGGACTGGCTGAAGCCATGGCAGAAGAACGTGGATTGTGAAGATTTCATGGACATTTATTAGTTCCCCAAATTGATACTTTTATAATTTCTTACGCCGATCTTTACTGCAATCTCTGAACATAAATTGTGAAGATTGCATGGACACTTATCACTTCCCCGATCAATACCCTTGTGATTTCCTATGCCTGTCTTTACTTTAATCTCTTAATCCCATCATCTTCGTAAGCTGAGGAGGATGTATGTCGCCTCAGGACCCTGTGATGATTGTGTTAACTGCACAAATTGTTTGTAGAGCATGTGTGTTTGAACAATATGAAATTTGGGCACCTTAAAAAAAGAACAGGATAACAGCAATGTTCAGGGAACAAGAGAGATAACCTTAAACTCTGACTGCTGGTGAGCCGGGCGGAACAGAGCCATATTTCTCGTCTTTCAAAAGCAAATGGGAGAAATATTGCTGAATTCTTTTTCTCAGCAAGGAACATATCTGAGAAAGAGAATGTGTCCCTGAGGGTAGGCCTCTGAAATGGCCGCTTTGGGGGTGGCTGTCTTTTACGATCACAGCTGTAGGGATGAAATAAGCCCCAGTCTCCCGTAGCACTCCCAGGCTTATTAGGACGAGGAAATTCCCGCCTAATAAATTTTGGTCAGACCAGTTGTCTGCTCTCAAACCCTGTCTCCTGATAAGATGTTATCAATGAAAATGCGTGCCCAAAACTTCATTAGCAATTTTAATTTCGCCCCTGTCCTGTGGTCCTGTGATCTCGCCCTGCCTCCATTTACCTTGTGATATCTTATTACCTTGTGAAGCATGTGCTCTCTGTGACACACACCCTATTCGTACATTCCCTTGCCTTTTGAAAATCACTAATAAAAACTTGCTGGTTTTGCGGCTTGTGGGGCATCAGGGAACCTGCTGACATGTGATGTCTCCCCCAGACACCCAGCTTTAAAATTTCTCTCTTTGTACTCTGTCCCTTTATTTCTCAGACTGGCCGACACTTAGGGAAAATAGAAAAGAACCTACTTGACTATCAAGGGCAGGTTCCCCCGATACTTGGGAGGCTGAGACAGGAGAATTGCTTGAACCCAGGAGCGGGAGGTTGCAGTGAGCTGAGATCACACCACTGCACTCCAGCCTGGGTGACAGAGCAAGACCCTGTCTCAAAAAAAAAAAAGCATGTGTGTATGTATGTATGTGTGTGTGTGTGTGTGTGTATATATACATATATATGAGAAATCATTAAGGAGGTGACTGTATAAGGTGGTTGATCCAGTGTAGTAATAGGTTAAAACAGTTTCCCAGGTGGTCACGTCTGTCCCTCTATGACAAGCCTCACCCAAAGCTTCAGGTCCTGTAGGCTAAGGTACATTAATAGGAGATGAGAACACAAACAAGATGATATGAGATATATACACACACACACAATTTTTTTTTACTTAAAAGTAACAACAATTGGTTGAAAGTCCTTATGCATAACTCAATTAGAATTTGTTGAATAGATGATTGAATACATGCTATTATTTTTTAAATGGACTATATATAAAATATCATGTAATTGAAAGTTTCAAAAACCTAGCTCTACCCTCTAATATTCCCCTTTTTTCAAAATCAGCATTAAGGACAATTAATTTTGGCCCAAACATTCAGTAAGGAGAACTTTAATGATTAATAACTAATGTAAATATCAATGTAATTATTTTATGTCTCCGTCACTGTTGGACTGTGAGCTACATATTGGCATACCATATGCCTGGGACACAATTAGTGCTCAGTATCTTTGTTCTGTGGCGCTGCATTCCATATTCTCTCTCTTTTTTTTTTTTTTTTTGAGACAGGGTCTTGCTCTGTCGCCCAGGCTGGAGTGCAGTGGCGTGATCTCAGCTCACTGCAAGCTCCGCCTCCTGGGTTCATGCCATTCTCCTGCCTCAGCCTCCCGAGTAGCTGGGACTACAGGTGCCCACCGCCACACCCAGCTAATTTTTTGTATTTTTAGTAGAAACAGTGTTTCACCATGTTAGCCAGGATGGTCTCGATCTCCTGACCTCGTGATCCGCCCACCTTGGCCTCCCAAAGTGCTGGGATTACAGGCGTAAACCACTGCGCCCGGCCCATATTCTCTCTTCTTTACTTTCAGATCAGTTACTATTCTTGTTCAGCAAAACTAGTTATTACTTTTCTTGCTATTATTCCTTTTTAGCAAAAGAATGTTTAAAAAATAAAGAAGCTATCACTAATTACAGGAATTTATATCTAGTGTGTATCTGAGAGTAGGGATATAATTCTTTTCTGTGTAAAAAAAAATTCCTAGGGCACTGTATAACCTATAAGATGGCATTGTATACACGTGGTAAGGAGAAGTTTTGAGGTCACAAAGTTCTGGTTTCAAATCCAGTTTCTACTGCAAAACCACAACTGCTTAGTTACTAGCCTTGTAATTCTGAGCACGTTACTTACTCTCTCTGAGCCACAGTGCTTGTTAATCTGTAAAATCTTCCTTGTAGTGCTGGTAGTGTTAGGAGGGAAAGTGAGATAATATATGCTAAGTATGTAGCAGCAAAGTTCTGAAGTCATAAGTAGGGTTTCAATTAGTAGTAGTTATTACAAAACGTGAGGAGTATTTAAGAATCAGGAGTATAATGAGTCACTCATTTTTTCTATCAACATGCTTATTATAAAAGCAACAAATTCAGAAACCTTTTTCACCCCACAGATCTACAAATAGGCACATCTACTGATAACTTTTCTTATTTCTTTCACTCAAATACTACATACATCTTTGTACTTAAAATGGCACCTGGCACAGAAAAGTTGCCTCTGAAGCATATGTTACATGAAATTGAGCCTCAAGTTACAGTCTGTTTAAGGTGACACCTTCTATACATACAGCCTGACATCCTCTTAGGAAGACATTCTTTATCAATGATTCTCAAAGTGTGGTCCATGCAATAGGCCCATGCCATCAAAACTATTTTCATAGCAAATCCAAGACATTATTTACAACATAAACATAAACTTTTTTTTTTTTTTTTTGAGATGGAATCTCACTCTGTCGCCCAGGCTGGAGTGCAATGGTGCGATCTCGGCTCACTGCAAGCTCCGCCTCCTGGGTTCACGCCATTCTCCTGCCTCAGCCTCTTGAGTAGCTGGGAATACAGGCGCCCGCCACCATGCCTAGCTATTTTTTTTTTTTTTGTATTTTTTGTAGGGACGGGGTTTCATCGTATTAGCCAGGACGGTCTCTATCTCCTGACCTTGTGATCCACCCACCTCTGCCTCCCAAAGTGCTGGGATTACAGGCGTGAGCTACCACGCCCAGCCAAACATAAACTTTTTGACCTTGCTGAAATTCGCCGTGAGCTCATGGCTGTGAAAAATACAACTGCCTGGACCATTTGGTGCTGCTGCCTTGATTGTTGCAAGCCAGCATTTCCCACCAGTGCTTTTGTACCATCTGCAAATTTCAGCAAAGTCAAAAAGGTAAATAATGCCTTGGATTTGCTATGAAAATAGTTTCAATGTTGTGGGCCTATTGCATAGACCACACTTCAAAATTTGCCAATGGTACAAAAGCACTGGTGGGAAATGCTGGCCTGCAACAATCAAAGCAGCAGCACCAAATGGTCCAGGCAGTTGTATTTTTCACTGCCACACGCTCATGGCAAAAATGATGCCACTTTCATTTAAGAGCATCTTTGATGAAGCAGTAAAATTGTATTACTTAAGTCTCAATCCTTGAGTATACGTCTTTTTAATGTACTGTGTGAAGAAATGGGAAGCGCATATGAAGTACTTCTGTAGCATACTGAGGGAAGATGGTTGTCTTGAGAAACAGCACTTGTGTCATTGTTGGACTTGAAAGCTGAGCCACCCATCTTTGTCATGGAGTATCAATTTGACTTGAAAGAACAACTAAAGACAAACTATGGTTATTCGGATCTGCATATTTGACATTGTTTTAAAACTAAAGTGAGCCTATCACTCCAGGAAAAATATCTGACAGCATTTGTTGCCAATTATACCTTTTAACCTTTCAAGCAAAAATTAGAGTTTTGAAAAACTTGTAGTGGCCACCATATGCTTAATAGTTTCCCAATACTTAACTTTTTTGATATCAGTGGTGATTTAACAAATATGTTTGGTTTTGCTTTTAAATATGTCATATAATAAAATGTGCCAACATTTGTAAGGGCTGCATAACCTTACAAAATACAGTAAACCAGTATTTTCCAAATGCATGCATGATGTTATAAAGTTATGAATAGGTAAAAGAAAAAGTATGAAAAGTTCATCAATATAGTTTTAGATTCAATTCCACTTTGCAACTAACCATTAAGAAACTACCACTTGTAGAATGTTGCTCTAGTATCAAAGAAGAATATCACAATTATCTGAAATGCAGATTAAAATATTTTTTCCTATTGTAATTACACATCTACCTGAGGCTGGATTTGCCTCACCAGCGTCAACCAAAACCACATATTGTATTAGATTAAATGCTGAAGCAATTATGAAAATCCAGTTGTCTTTCATTAAGTCAGACTTTAAAATATTTGCAAAAGTATATAAAACATTGGCATTCTATTATTTTTCTGTTTTGAAAATATATTTATTGTGAAATAAATATATCATTTACATATATGCATTTATAGTTGGCCCACCATATCCATGGGTTCCATACCTATGGATTCAACAAACCACAATCAAAAATATTTAGAAAAAAAAAAGAATGGTTATATCTGTACCTAACATGTATCAACTATTTTTTGTCATTATTCCCCAAACAATATAGTATAATAACTATTTACATAGCATTTACACTGTATGAGGTATCATAAGTAAACTAGAGATAATTCAAAGTATATGGAAGGATGTATGTACATTACATGCAAATACTACACCATTTTACATAAGGGGCTTGAGCATCCATGAATTTTGTTATCTGCAAGAAGTTCTGGAATCAATCCCCCGTGGATACAAGGGGATGACTGTGTATTATCTATAATTATTTTTAAATTAGTAAGCATTTAAAAAATTCCTCAGAATTTCTAATATGGTAATATTCATAAATATAACACATTATTGGGGTCCTCAATAGTAACAGTGAAAAGAGATTCTGAGACCAAAAAGTTTGAAAACTTTGGATGACATGAATCACACTCAATAGTAAAAACATCCTTACTTGAGTCAAATCACTTAGGAAAGCCTTAGAGAAAGAGTGTAGGAGAAAATCACTTAGGAAAGCCTTAGGGAAAGAGTGTAGGAGAAATTACACATGCATTATGATTTGTCTCCTGACTTTATCACACAAAGACATTTTCACAGGCAAAACATATTCTCCTAGATACACAACTCAGCACTATTTCTAACTTCAAATGATGTTACTTAAGTTGGCTCTTATGATTGTAATTTCACATCCTAACATTATAGGACTTATTAAAAAACCATGGTTTAGCTTTGTTGCTTTATTTGGATTACACAGTATCCTAAGGTCAAAACTCAGGAAATCTGTTATTAAAAAAAAAAGTATCCATGAAGTGATGACAAATTGCAGACTACAGGTGTTAGATTACATTTTGACTCCAGGCGGATTTAATATAAGTTGGTTCTCTTTTACAATTGCTCTTAGCACATACAGCTATAGGAGAGGGATTTAAAAAAAAAAAGAGAGAGAGAGAGAAAGAGAATAAGAAAAAAAAAGTGGCAGTCAACAAAAGAAGACCATGTCAAGAGAAATCAATACAAACAAGCAAAATGGTAGGAAGTCTGACATGGAAATATGTGTTCAATTTCATCCAGCCTTAGTCTGTTTTTTTTTTTTTTTTTTAAATATTGTAACCAAGATACTACTGGAACACTGTGTATGTTTTTAATGCAGTTTAATAATTGTTTCTCAAAATAAACACTTTGGTCAAAGATAAAAGCATAAAAATATTGTGACACAATAGGCTGTTAAACTTGGGTTTTGGAGGAAGCATGGTTCTTAAAACAGCCTTTGGCTTATATCATTTCCTCTTTGGTTATAAATTGAGAACAACTATACCAACAGCTTTGGTATAGTTTGGGGAAAAAAAAAAAAGTATCACAGTCATTAATCTGATTGCTGGGAGTGGCCAGAATCTGCAAATACTGAAGAGGTAGGTGGCTGAGTGAAATGCTTCTTCAATATAAGGAGATGAGGAACTATATCAAATAGCTATGAAGAGAGTATAGAAAACAATCCACTCTCCAGTTAGAACCTGAGGAAAAGCATGGACACATGATGTACCTAGTGGCAATTATACCTTTCCCTTAATCAGCACCATCTGAGAAACAGATTTATTTGATCATCTAGGGCTAACATGACCAAAACCATTCCACAAAAACAACAAACACAATCCATGAGAAGACTTGGGAAGAATGACCAAAACCATTCCACAAAAACAACAAACACAATCCATGAGAAGACTTGGGAAGACCGGACCCTTTAGGACAGTCCGGGCTATGACCATGTGTCCTTATGCCTGGGAGATACCATCCCCAGCCCACCCACCACACGCTCACTTGCCTGACATCCATAAGCACTAATTTCTCCCTGTTCCGACACTCCTCCACCACTCTTCACAAAGTATTCTCAGAACACAAAACCTAGCCTAAAAATTCACAGGAAAGGCCTATCTCTTGAAGACCCAATTCAAGGCACAGATTAAAGTGTCTTTAAAGACCTTACATCTGGTTAAAACGAATAAAGAGTAAGATGGAAATGAGCAGGGTAACAGTTACCTCTAGGATTCTGATTTTTAAATAAATGTGTGACTTGCTTCATGGGTATAATTGCAAAAAAAAGTGGCTTTTGCACCAGCATACATGAAAGAAGATACTCTTAAGTTAAACATAACCAGGTAACTAAATGAGGAAGATGAAAGGTTAGGATGACTTGGTACCACACGATCCCAATGATATTAAAAGAACCAACCTGGAAATTTCTAATACTTCAGCAATGGCAAAAGGCTAAGAAAGAAAGATGTGCAAAGGGTTCAGATTAAGCATGATCCCTCAGAATGCTTAAATAGTTAATCCAGCTGGCTCTATAATTCTCAAGTGAAGTAAAAATGTGACCCAAATGAAAATAACTTCATCAATGCCAGTGACACATGATTTGTGAGCTTTGAAACTTGTTTTAAAACAGATTCAAGGTAAGCTTAAAATAATAGAATAGAGACCACTTCAGATAAATACATTTCACCCAGTAAATTTAACCAGAGCAGAGTTTTAATTCCTTTTAAATGAAAATGTTTTAAGATATATGAAGGAAAAGAATAGATACATTTAATAAGAAGAGACATCACTCAGTCAGCCAAGAATTGTCAATGAAGACTTAAATAATGATTCCTAAGGTAAAGCACCAAAGAGTCAGAATTCAAACCATTTCCAAATCCCTTCATAGTATTTATAAATCTAGTGATGAAAAATATAAATTGAAAACACCTATTTAGAATAGGATGATTTAGAAACAAGGATAATATGGAGGGGTGTGGTGGGGGGGGAGATTATCTATGTATACTTTCAGTCATAGGATCTCAATAAATTATGTAAGCTTCACTGAAATAAAGCATTACTATTACTGATTTACACATAGATTATTTAATATGACTCCATGGTCGTATATCAAATTTCTGTAATTATTTAAATCCTGTAATTATTTTCAAAGCTCTTTATCATCTTTTGTTTTTCTTACTTCTTAAAAAGAATGAAATAATCTCACAATATTGGCAGGTACTACTGCATTTATTCTTCAGAGGAAGAAACAAATACACAAAATTGAGCTCTGACTCCAAAATCACATACCCCCGAGTCTAACATGTAACAAATATATGCTTACTGCTGTTTAGCTAGCTAATGGAGAAAAATACAAAATTATATTCTGTTTCAATTTAAGTTTTTAGCACAAATTTCTTTTAGTGTGAATAAACACCTTCAACTAAAATCTACTAGACTCTAAGAATAACACTATAAATGACAGAGGCTATTATTCAATATTTCAAGTTTGGAATTAAAAGTGAAAACAACACAAATGTTAGGAAAAATTAGAATACTTTATGGGGAAGTTTCTCTCCCAAATGTCCATTTAGAGTGGGTTATAAAGAGATTTTTACATTTCTATCTCTGTGTACCATTTTTACAAAGCAGATACCCAGTTTCATCAAAATTTGCTAGCACATAAAGAGAGACCCTTCCTGACAAACCTCAGCCAAGAACCAGTTTAGGATTTAAAATCCCCATAACTACAATGGCACTAGTGACATCACAACTGAAGTGTTTTACAGCTTCTTAAAAGACAGGGCTTCAATTATTTAAGGAGAAAGCATGTTTGGAAGAGATGCTTTACTTCAGGGGAAAGAGATGAAAGAAGGTAATCCATGTGTTTGAAGCCTCACATGAGGCTATTTAGAATCCCACATTAGGCCACATTTTCTGTATAATTTTTACAGTTGGGGTACTCAGAAGTCAGAACAATCTGACAGTTATGGTTAGTGAAAATATTAGATGTTCACCAAGAAAATACTACCTCAGCATATTTTTTGCTTTCTGAATGTAACCACTTAATAACAGGACTTGAGAAAACTGCACTGTGTGAATCAAACACATAAAAGTACAAATATTCCTTTTATAGAAAGTAAATCTTAAGGAGTGCATTATAATCAACCACTCTGGTAAAAGAAAAAAAAAATCTAGCATTACCACACCACTGACATATTATAGTTTATTATACCCAGAAGTCCAAACTGGGTAAACAAAGTCAAATGATCAAAGAAGGGTTTTCGCCTCAAACCATGAGGCAGAGGCCATTGATCTCTAGGGAGAGGCAGCAAAGATTCCTGGTGGCTTAGCTCTTAAAAGGTATCAAGTGAGAGCTTATCAGACATAGCCTTTAGTTTTCAACTTCATTTAATTTCATCAGAGACTGGCTTTCTTGGTATTATTTTCTTGCAAGAGAAAAATAATATGGAAAAATTAAATATGTGAGGTAGAAACTTCCCAAAAGTTTGGGCTCTTAATTCTAGGGTAGGCTTTTCCATTCTAAACCACTTTTAATTCATTATGGGAATATTGGTTTTGTATCCTCCACATTAATGATCTTACTACCTGAAACCAGGTATGGACAGACTTTTGCTTCTCAACTTTGTGGCAGGTATATCGGGTGAGAAGTGAAAAGCCAACAAGGACAGGCACTCTTGTTTAGATCAAGGCTTTCTCAAGAAAATGAGTCTCCTTTTCCCAGGGGTCCAAGGATGGTCACTGGGAAGAGAAATCTCAGTTCCTAATTCCCTGGGGCAAAGTAACTGGACTAGTAACTCCTTTTCTCACAAGCAAGATTCCAGTCTCCGAGCAGCAGAGGACCATGCTACTCCCACAAGGCCATTCAGCATCCTTATCTACTCAGATTCACAAAACAAGTCCAATTGTGTCTCCACACAACGTTGCCTTGGCTTTTCTGAGCATATTTGCTTACCCTGTGTAGGTCGTCTTCAGAAACTGGAACTGTCAAGTTATTATACTTTCAAATGTGAATACGCTTCGGGGTGGATTTAATTTAATAGCTGAGAACTCAGTACAAAACAAACATACTTACAAATGACATTAGCAGGGAATTAATCGTTAACGCTCTTGATTGGTGCTCCAAGACCAACCCCCCAGGTTGCTCCAGCCAACATCTGAGAGTTCTCACTGACTCCTTCCCCTCAACTAAAACTCCACATCTAGTTGATCCCACGTGTTGCTGATTATTCCTTTTAAACAGTTCTTGGATTAATTTTCCCTTCTCCAGGTGTACTCCCATTGCTGTAATTCAGACTCTTATAATCTCTTGCCTGAATTACTCTGACTTCCTCCCAACAGGCCTCCCTGTCACAGCCAACCGAACATCTTGCTAAAGGCCCTCAGTGGCCTTCAGGTGGTCTAGGCCTCTTCTGTGTACAAGAAGGCCCCGTAACCTCACTGCAGCCTGAGCCCCTGCTGGTCCTTGCTCCCCAGCCCCTGCCTTGCAGGCTGTGCTCCAACAACTCTACACTGGAGCCCCCAGACTCATGCTGTGTCACCCTTTCTTGGAAACCTCTGATGATGAATCTGTAAGAGCCATGAGCAGCACTACGCCTTGGAAGCCTTCTGAGTTCTCCAACTCACCAGGTTTGGGGCAGGCATGCCCCTTTTGTGCTTTTCTTTCTCTTACTTATACGCTGTATTATAGCTATCTGCTCTCATATCTGCCTCTCCACTGATCTCTGGGCTCCTTAAGGGTAGATTCTGTGTTATATTCACCTCCACATACTCTAAACTTAGCACAATGTCAAGGCACTGTGCTTTGAATGAATATATACGTCTACACAGGCAATAGCCATATTACACAGACTGAAAGTCATCCTTAAATTTAGAACACATCTAATAGTCCTAAGGGGAAATAAAGTATTAAATCTATGTAGGCACTCACTAAAAATACACTTATTACCGAAAAGAGCTGAGTTATCATAGTTTATAATAATTTGATACATGCACACATACACTTTGTATACAGGTTAATAAATACCATAGGTTAATAAATACCATACTGACTCACACAGTTCTTTAATTCCCAAAAAAATCTGATTGAAAATTATTAACACTCAAGAAATATATAGGATATTCCTATTCTCAGGGATAAAAACTGACATATTCATCAGTTTGCTTCTCTCTCTCCCTCCCCAATCTGCAGAAATATTTCTACTATCACTAGAACTTAAAGGGCCTGCAGCAGACAGCTTCCATGACAAGAAAAGTTGCTGGAGGCAAAACAGCAAAACAACAAATAAAAATGAGAGAATCCATATAAGACAAACAAAGGAAACCTTTAAAAACAATGCAGAATTTATAAAAGCCAGAAGTATTTGTTAAAAAATGGATCATATGTATCACAATAAAATTCTGAATTGTCAATGGCTCCCAACTGAGCAAAATATGAAAGAATATTGCCTATATACAAAATACTATAGAAAACACTGAATGTCTTGTCCAAAACAAATATTAAATGCCAGAATGATTTTCTTTGGAACAGAATGAACAAAGAGAGACTTTGTGAAGAAACAACAAAGAAAAAAAGTAACAAAATTAATTCAATGTATATATTTTTTTGCCCCCACTTTGATTTAACCTCTATAGTTCCAACACCACATATTCCAAAGTAAGCAAAGAGAATGGTTTCAAGTTAGAGCCACAAACTGTCTTTACTGCTTTTTGCCTGTCTTCGTAGCTTACTTAGACTTTATCAAAATTTACTTCTAAAAATATGCATCTGAAACTGAATAAATAATGGAAGTTAAGAAACTCTAGAGGCCAAATATGAGCCATTTCATTTATACTTGCAGAAATCAAAAAGCATTTTGGCATTAAACAACATTTTTTTAGGGTACAGTGCTTTTAAGACATTATATAATTACCCTTACTGAGAGTACAGTTTTTAGCTTTGTCAGGGTCTCTATTGGAATTATAATTCCATGCTGAGCAACGAGTTCTATCAAACCTCTATTATCATATTAAAACACTTGAGTAGGCCAGGTGCAGTAGCTCACATCTGTAATCCCAGCACTTTGGGAGGCCGAGGCGGGTGGATCACCTGAGGTCAGGAGTTTGAGACCAGCCTGGCCAGCGTGGCGAAACCTAGTCACCACTAAAAATACAAAAATTAGCCAGGCATGGTGGCACACACCTAAATCCCAGCTACTAGGGAGGCTGAGGCAGGAGAATCGCTTAAACTGGGAGGCGGAGGTTGCAATGAGCCAAGATCACGCCACTGCACTCCAGCCTGGGGGACACAGCAAGACTCTGTCTCAAAAAAAAAATAAATAAAAATAAAAACAAAAACAAACAAACAAAAACCACTTGATTAAGGGTACCCTCAAGATTCCAAACTTTCTATTTCTGAGAAGAGAACAGATTTAATGAGATATTTTGAAAGTAGAGCTGGTAAAAAGAATATTTGTGAAAAGCAATGCTAAAAAAAAAACACTTCATAGGGCAGAAAGAGAAAAGGCAAAATTTACCACACATAGTGGAGCAATG
Organism: Homo sapiens; assembly: GCF_000001405.40. NCBI lineage: Eukaryota > Metazoa > Chordata > Mammalia > Primates > Hominidae > Homo > Homo sapiens. The sequence goes on from NC_000002.12 coordinate 199,292,141, forward strand.
GGTATTAAATAATCATCTCTGAATAAACTCTACAAATCAATATGGTCCTTTTGGTCTAAACTAAGAATGCTATTGCCTAAAGGAAATCTCTAAGGTCAACCAGCAATTAACTGAAAGGTTTTGATTGAAAATGCTATTGATGGCTTTCATATCAGACAGCTTCCTGGTTATTATACTGCATGGGCTAAGTAGGTGCCAAGACATTAAACTGTCAATAACCTATTAATACTAGACTGCTATGCTTACTCTCCCCGAATCTGGGCAGGCAAATGTATTCAAGCCATGTACCTGCTTAGAACTAATGCAAATTCCCCAACCCTGATGTGGAAATCATATCTTTATTACCTCCCAGTTTAAATGTCTAGTAGTGTTGACAGAGTATAAGAAAAATATGCAGATAATAAATGCTTATTCAGATGAGTTAAACTAACATTTGTTTTTAAAGAGATGGCTAAAGGGATAGAGAACATGTCTTGGAATCTGACTTCCTTTCTAAGCCATATTTAACAGTTTCTAAATTGAATGTAATAAACACTTTATAAAGAGAAATGAGAAGTTATTTAAAGTGAGGCTTATAGGTCCTTGCCACTCAGCATCTGGAAAGCAGTTATACATTGGGGAGTGGGGGAGAACTTTTAATGAATTTAATAGAGAAAAAGCACTTTAATTAAATGCTGTCAAAGTAGATTGTATTAATGATGGTACACAGAGGAATTTTAAGCCAGCCAAGTTTATTTAGCAAATAGAAATGGGGCTTTTGAAGCCTGCAAGTATTTATGTTTCCGCAGTTGCAGTACATCTAGATGATGGTGCCAAATGAAACTGTTGAGTTATTATTAGATATGATTTTATTTATTGTGTATTATTAAAGTTTCAAAAGCCTTAGGGGAATTAATCTCATTTTCAAAATGAAATACCACATTTGATCAGAAAGGGTTAAGAAAAGAGAATATTGTCCCCTAATTTTTTTCTGTTCCCTGGAATTTTGATGCAGGTGAATGGCTAGTGGGAACAGCCTTTTCTAGGTTCATGCAGCCAGAATTCACTTTATTGGACAGTAGTATGGTAGCAAAGAAATCAATGACAGTATTTCTCCTGTGAGTTTTTCTCCTGTTTTCTTTTTTTCTAGTGATTTGCCACCAAACATAATTCATTCCATTATACATAGCAATAAGCTGAAAAATGACCAAAGCTCTTAAAAATCTCCATGAAAATTTGGTTGTCATAACTTTCCTTAATCAAAAACTCGAGTAGCCCAAACTTCTACAAAGGAAAAGGTATCGAATGTTTGACTTGGGGGCAACAGGAAAAAAAGGGGTCTTTCTTAGTATTTTCTATTCAGAAGTTGACCACAGAACAAACCTATTATTAATAATATTTTTTAAATAAACAAAGAAAATATGAGCCTTAATGCATGAAAGCTATAAAAGATTGAAAAGCTGGTCTGGCTGGAAAATACTATGTGTGTGTCAAAATGATTTTCTCTACCGTTTGTAAAAATGTAATTATCCATGATATGCTATTACCCATGATATGCTACAAGGGTGAAGGATTTCAAGTAAATCCATTGGAAGCTGAGGATTCGCTTTTGGTATTCAGTCTCTGACACCACCATGTCTGTGAGATCACAAACCACTGCCATGATTTACCACATCCTTCTTGCAGTTATATATACACCCTTTCAGCCTGTCTTTAGCTTTTAATTCAAAACATGAAAAAGGGGGAGAAAGGAAATGTGAGGGTGGGAGAAAAAAAACAAAACAAAACACAAAACTCAGCATCTATTTCCTTTCAAGAAGAGAAAAATGATCACAAATACTTTCAACTTTCTAAATAATCTAATTTTTAATGCTCCCCCCCAACTAGTTATTAATATCATATGTTTGATCTGTGTCTTTGTAGTTCTGGAATTTATAAGTAACTCTGCATTTCCCATTTCTGCCAAGATGTTTCCGACTAATCTTTGAAATGCTGCAAATGTAGATGAATATGACATGAAATAGAAACTGATTACATACACGTTCTATATGTGAGGAATGGCAACACAGAACACAGATGACAGTTACATGTTCATATGGTATAAAGTACTACTCTGCTTCATATATACAAATATATAGAGATCATCAAAGTACAGCATGCCACCTCTACTACATCTGTATTAGGAACTCAAACTGGTTGATTTCTTTTCAACAAAATGACAAGAAAATTTCTTCTCTCCTGGTAAATCAGTAGTTCTAATATGAAGATCTATTGAAGAATTGTCAACTGACAGACCATCCTGATGCATTTGATCCAGGTTATGTTATACAACCAAAGAATCAGTTAATTTGGTTCTTTCCTTTCATTACTATGTTAACTTACTAGGCATGCTGTTTAACTATTTTAGCCCCTGTCTCCTTGGGAGGCTTTCATTTCCCATGATGCACCCAAATAAGAGTTCCTCTCAAAAGTGTAGCCCTAAATTACACCACATGGAAATATTTGACATTGGCCCACCACAATTCCTTGCCAGTCTTCTCTTACCACACTTTTGAGTACAACTATTGACCTGCATTGTCAAAAAAACATGAAATGCAAAACACTATACTTAAAAAAAATCATTGCATGTGAATACTGCACTTATGCAGTACATGCTCACTTTAGCACCTTCTGCTCATTTTGATCATAACAGAAACAGGAATACCTTTCCATATTCACATATATTCATCTTTAAGAGTTCACATCATAGATTTTAGCTCCCTAATTTACTTTTTTTAAAAAAATTGACTCTTAATTTTTGAGGTGCACTGTTTGAGTTTATCATATCTAAAAAATAACTGTTAATTTGTTCCTGTTTTCTACCTAGACTCCTCAAATATCTTGGGTGTTTGGCACTAGGAAATCACAAATTATGGACTCATTATGCTACAGATTCTATAAAGTTGATCCAACCAGATACTCAAGTGAGCTTTGTACGCTGCATAAGAAAGAAATACAAAGATAAACATGTTTGAACATGAAGAAATAAATTTAAACTAAAGAAAAGCATGACAAGGAAAGAGTAGGAACAACTGCTATTTAAATAAACATTTTTGTTATCTGGATGATCAAATGAGCTGTATTACCAATCAGACAATCAGTTCTGGAAACACCTGACTTTTCTTTCATACAATTGTTTTCAGCAAGTTTTGTTTATAAAAAATAAATAATACACGGATGGCCAAAGAGCTTGAAATAAAAAAGTTAACTGGAGTCTACTCAGTGTTTCGCTGGCAAATATTTAACAACTGGGTCTCTAAAGAAAAAAAAAAAGCCCCAATTGGATAATCCACCAGTTTTTGTAGTGTGAATAATCCCACCATGGCCAGTTTCACGCTGCCAATGGTATAACAACCAGCTTTTGAAATTCTAAAAATTTAACAATTGGCTTCTGCAAGCCAGAGTAGGCTTTCTCCAGCATACTCTGACTCTACTATAGAGAAGCAAGACCATGTTCCTCCTCTGACAAGCCACATACTGCTTCCCAGACTTGCTCACTGAATCCCTTTGCCTGGCCTGACTTACCTGTCATTTTCCCAGCCCCAAAGTGATTATTAGGATGACCCCAATGTGATCCACAATTCCATAAAATATTCTATATCAAAAGGTGAAGGGTTATATGATTTGCAGTGAATTTGATCTGGAAACAACTTGTGAGGAAATTGAACTTGTGACCTTAGAACTGTCAAACCTATCTAGTTTGCTTGATCTCCCATTTCTAGGGTCAAACCAAGTAATAATAAAATAAATGAATTTCAGAACTTTGGCAGTTTTCCTTTAATTGAAAGTGTGCTTTTCTATCATTACAAGGGGAAGTTCCAGACTTCAACTTAATAAAAATCAGCAGTAGTTTGCAGCTACATTAGATTTCCACACTAAACAGAAACAGCTGAGAAGCCACAGTAGGTAGGTTTGGTTACGACAGTTTAAAACTCAGTGGCTGGCTTTCTCTTGCAATTGCCAAAACTATCAGTCATAAGAAAATCAACTGGGTCTCTGAGTCCAATATAAGATGTTCATAATCTGTTATAGTGTTGCTAATTTGTTTTTCCAAAATGCATTTGAACCTCCCAGGAGCAATGTGTTTTTGTTTTGTTTTGTTGTTGTTGTTTATATTTTGCACCCTCATTAAAATACTCAAATGGAAATTAGAAATGGATGAGCCAACTCACAGTATGAGTGTTTTAGATAAAAGGGGTCTCTGCAATCACCTAATTCATGTTGTAATAATTTAGAAAACAGTAGATGGAGTCCAGGCGCAGTGGCTCACACCTGTAATCCCAGCACTTTGGGAGGCCGAGGCAGGTAGACTGCTTGAGTCCAGGAGTTCGAGACTAGCCTGGGCAACATGGTGAAACCACATCTCTACTAAAAATACAAGAAATTAGCTAGGGATGGTAGTGTGCTCCTGTAGTCCCAGCTACCTTGGAGGCTGAGGTAGAAGAAGAGAGAATCCCCTGAGCCCAGGAGGTAAAGGCTGCTATGAGCCATGATTGTGCCACTTCACTCCAGCCTGAGCAACCAGAGTAAGACCCTGTCTCAAACAAACTAACAAACAAAAGAAAACAAAACAGTAGATGGAAATTCAGAGTGAAATGCCTCATCCAAGGTCACACACTCAGCCCTAGGACTAGACTCTATGTCACTTACAGTGCCCTTTTCTTTACCATGTCATCTTTTCTCTTATTGGGTCAAAGGTTCATTGAAACTAGAAATAGAGAGTAATATTTATTCTTTATAAGATGCTCTGGCCTCTGAAACAACACCCAGAAATCCTCAGTGTGGGGGCAATAATCATATAGAAAAATTTTAAATATTTGGAAACTTTTTAACCTTAAAGCCATACTACACTTAGACTTAAATCCCAGTCATCTATTTTAAATGCACTTCAAAGTTTATAATCAGAAAACTCTAATTTCAAAGGAAGCATTTGTGTTTGTTTCTATTATATAAGAAAGATACGATTTTTTAAAATTAAAATTAAATGGTTATATACATTGCCCTGTGGCTTTCATTTATAAAGCCATGACTTGTTACGTATTTGTTGTGAACTACACTTCAAATAATTTGTTGCCATCAATAGTTAAAATAGTAAAATTTGCAAATGTTTTACTTTTTTGTTTTTGTTTGGTTTGAGTAAATTAGAGCTCATCCTATATTCCTTCTACAATGACACTAGTGTATGTAAGTCCACTCCTGTTTACCTGCATACATGGGAGGGAAAGAGGTAGAATTCCAGGTGGTCATTCCCGGAAGAGTCATACATGTGAAAATAGGCCATTAGTATTCTCAGCACAGAGGTTCCACTGAAGGGAGTCCTGGGATCACAGCAAGTTCTGCATCTTCACTCTACTTGTCACTTCATATCCTAATTCATCTTCTGGTAGCCTGAATTCATCTTCCTGGTAGTCTCTGAGGAACTCAACACCAGAGAATATTTATTTTCCCTTGTTTGAGTCCACCAAGGCCAGCACAGATCTGCTAATGGGGGAGATGCCTATTTAATACTGCACCAAAGAGTCTCAAGCATCATCACTACATGGTTCTTTCACAACTTTGTGGATGCTAATGGGTAGCAAGGACAGCAGAAGTCTCAGAGATGATACAGAGGCTGAAGTAGCCTTTTTGCTTTTTAAGCTTAAAAAAAAAAAAACAAAGCACTAACCAACTTTTGTCATACCCAATGGCATTTTATTATGCTCTACAGAAGGATTTCATTCACAGCTGAGAAGAAAAGTTCTCACTTATCTTTTAAATAAGTTATAATAACTTTTAAAAAAAGCTTAAAATGTAGGAAGGCCATATGAAACCAGACAGCTGAGTCTCTAAATCTGTCTTAAAACAACTGTACTACATGCAAACAATAGAGGCCAGGCATGCTCCCGTTATCTTGCTGAATATAAAATTCTATGCTGACACCATCCTTGATTCAATTCTGTGCTCTTTTCAGTAAGAATTATCCCCTTTATCCTTAAGATTAATACTAATAACGCTCAGAAGCTACTAACATTTCTCAGGTGCCTTCTATGCAATCACCATCTCATATAAACTTCAAATAACCCCATCAATTTGGGATTATTCTCGCAAACTAGTTTCAGAAATTTTAAGCAGCCTCTACAACGTCAGAGCTCCAATTCCAGTGATGGTCCTAGAATTCAAACCCAGATCTTCTGAAGGTCCAGTGGCCTTTCCTCTCTATCCAAACACCTCGCCATGCTTCCAGCAGAGATAATGTTTCAGTCTACTTGTATAAGCTCTTTGACAACTTATACTACTTAAGTATTTTTTAAAAAAGAAGAAATGGAGGTTAAAATAAATTATATTTCCATTTGGACGTTTTACATTGTACTGAAATATTTTTTAAGTAAGACAGTCCAAAATGCTTTAACAATGACTGTATTAGTATGTATTTGTAGATCGAGTTTGTTAAGTCCAGATCCCCAGCAGGTAGGCTTGTATTCTCAGAAACGCAACTGGGATTGAGCTTCTTAAGCTACCTTCATCCCCTATTTCAACTGTTAATTACCTCCTAGATTTATGACCTTGTGTGAGTGATTGGGCCCAAATCAAAGTATGTGAAACAAGTGCACTGACCAAACAGAGTGAAATAATGAGAATTTCATCTACCCAGGTGGGGAAGCCCTTTTCTGCAGATGTTCTTTTCTGTTTCTTCTGCAATGACGATGACTATCTTTGAAATCAACAATTATCAATGAGAAGCACTCTGGTAGAAAATTGAAACAGAAAATGTGAAGAAGGCTCCCATCTTCCTAGAACAGCATGTGACTTTCTGCCATAAGAGCTCATTATTAAGAGGGACTAGTTCACACACCTAACCTTCCAAGGACCACAGCTTTATTAAAGGCACACCAAATGAGCCAGGTGGTTTGGTTCATGTACTAACGATGAATTAGCCCATACCTCAGTACCAAGTAAATAAGGTTGCTAACTTGGAGAAGTCATTCTGGCTGGAGAGAATAAATATGAGCAGGACATAAAAAGAGAAGTGTTTATCTGTGTGGTCAGGGAGAAATTAGGGTTGGAGTGGACACACTTATTATCTATCTGTTTTCCATCAAAACTATTTTTTAAAATGCCACTTGATCATTAATCAACAGATGCCATTCTTTGTAGAGCTATGTAAATCACTTTAGACTCTATAGAATAGATTCAGAAGGTCTGTTTGGTTTGATACCTTCAAATAGCCACACTTTGTTCTTTTAAGGTAATCTCATCACTGAGAGGCTTAACGTGTTTCAGAGATATTACCTGTCCATTCTAGAAACAGCTAGAAAAACAGAAGCAGAAAGATGTCACCCAGGGTCAGGAACAGAGGAAGAAATAGAACCTATGGATTCCACTAATTTACAGTCTGAATTTTAGAATAATGCAAGGTAGCCAGAGGGAAAATGGAGGTCTATTTAAAAATACATTCTGAATAAAGGAGAAAACTGCTCAATGTACATGTGAAATTTTGTTTTTTTTCACTGTTATATATGTGGTGCCTGGAATAACACTTGGCATATTCAAGAAACTCCACAAATATTTGTTGAATGAATAAGTAAAAACGCGAGAATAAAAATGGCCCATCTTCTCAATCAGGTCTATAACTTGAAGCCTAACAGCAGGCTTATCGATGAAATTTAATCATTTTTTTCCAAAAGCCAGACTTTGCTAGCTATCTATACAAGTATAAAGGAATGTGGTTTGCCCTCTCACAGATGAAATGTGACAAGGCACTTGACTAGAACAATGACACATCAATATCTACAAGTACCTCAATTTTAGTTTAGATTTATTGTTGTTGTTTTTTGTGGGTGGGAAGGGAAAGAAGGATGCATTTTAATGCACTTTCTACCGTAGTCTCTATTTATTTTGCCTCTGTCTTTCTCATTGCTCTATGCTGCTCAATTTAATCAGTTTGCCCTTTCACAAAATGTACTAGTCACTGCCTTCTTTTAGGTGTAAAGAGTGTTTCATATTTTATTTTTAAGTAAGTAAAAGGAGAGAGGGAAGGAGGGAGGGAGGCAGGGAGGGAGGGAGAAGGAAGGAAGCGGAAGGGGAAGGAGAAGGGGATAAATAGCAACATTGAGTTGACCAATAGGACAACAGCAAAACCAGCACCTAACAAATTCCAAAGCAATATTAAAAAAGAAAGCCAATGAAGCTTTATGTTCAAAAGCATTCTGTTTAGTTTTATTTTCCTACCAAAATGTCAAAAAAAAAAAAAAAGTCAAGGCACTAAAGGTTTAATATTATACCTGGCTTCATTTACTCTCACCAGAAGGAAAAAACTATGAAAACATGTCTAAGGAGTACTTTGCTATCCCAAAACTTTTAAAAAACTTTAAAAATCTCAATATTCTATTAAAATAGAAAGACAATATATATTAGCAATTTTAGTGGTTTCTGAGCACCGGGCTTGTATCCATGAAGACTTTTTGTACCGATATAAATGACACAACTGACTGTGATTCCATTTACCTATAGGGAGCATTGGACAAAGTGCCTTCTACTCAATTTTAGGATCTAAAAACCAAGAGAGTAAGGTGCAGGAATTTCATTGCCCTTCAAAAATGCAGAATATAAAAATTAGACTATTATTTAAAGAAACATAGCAATAATGGAAGAACAAGCTACTCAAGAAACCAGGGTTCTCTATGTTCCCAGAAGGCAGGAAAAGACTGAGCGAAGTGGAACCCAGCTGTTTGACATTTCACTTCCAACCAGCAACTAACCCTGAATGTTGAATTTGGAAGGCGGTGTGTTATGGAGGTCCAGTCACTCATAGGAGGAGTTCTGCTTGGCAAAAATATTAGAACCACCCCATGATGAATGAAAAGCTAACTTCAGTAATTAAAATGATAAGCCTAGTAAAATGTTGAACTGACTTTAAAAAAATACATTAGCAGAACCAGAAGAGAATACTATAAAAATTTATGTTTAATATTTATCAGCTTCTACAGGAAAGTCACTAAACATATGTGACTACATGATAAATGTTAGAAAAGCTGCAATAGAATAAAAAGGTAGAATACTCTGGACACACATGGAACTGAAAATCTCCCTTAGGCATTGGTTTCCTACTACTTGCATGCCCACAGCACTTTACATTAAAAAAGAAGTCATATGAATCTCTCTTGATAATGAAAGGTTTGTTCTAGACTTGTTAATCATACCTGTATTCTTCTACCCTGGTAACTGCAGGGTACTAGAAGCCATGTTCCACTAAAAGGCCCTAACTTTCCAGCCCAAAGACAGCTCATTCACAGGTTACCTACAAGTGATCTATGGCCAGGTGGCTTTCTATTTCCCAATCTTCTTGAGGTTATTCTAATATTTTGCCCAACAAAGCTCTTTCTTCAAAATGCAATGCCTTCCAAATTAGGCATTCAGATGACTGATTGGAAATTGAATGCCAAGAAAGTCAGCCTTCAGGAGGATAAGGTTAACCAGTCAATTTCCCTCTTAGATGAACTTAAAGTAGTAAATATGGAGTATGCAAGAGAAAGTGAGTTTGACAAAGGCATGGTAAAAAGTCATGAGGTAGAGCACGAACCGTGGGCAGGCCAAGGTGTGGAGGAGGCAGAATTATAATGCAGAGACACTATGAGTAGTATGCAGAAGTTACAAGGTAGACAGAGATACACAGAAGATGGTAAATCAGATGATGCTTGGAAGTAAAGCTTGTAGTGGAAAGAAGTTGACATGAGAAAGAGGTAATACTATGTTCAGGATGGCAAAGGAGAAGGTGAATCCATAAATGGCAGCTGCTGAATTCCCAGTTCCAGATTCAGAGAAACCTAACCATACTCAAGAGTCCTACACCTGGATTTTCATGAAGTTCTAGCATCCTCAATTTCTTTTAATACATCTCCAATTATTAAGCTGGAATTTGTCTTGTAAAAGAAAATAATTTAACAACTTTAAGAAACTGCACATTTCTTTGGCCTACTTTGCCTGCCTACTTTTTAAATTGTACAGTGTCTTAGAGTTTTTAAAAATCTCTAGGTAAAACAAAGCCATAGCTAATGTCTAATCTACTGACTGTAATGAACTTCTTCAGCTTTGTGATTATCACTAAAGGAAACCTGTTCAGTACACTTTGGAAGATAAACCCAAGATGAAAATAACTGTCTCTTAGAGTAAAAAGAATTGATAACAAATGACTTTCAAATCTCTTTATATTCCTGAATGACAAATTTAAAATTTTTGACATGTTGAAAACCTAGTAATATAATAAACCAAGGATGCTCTTCAAGTTGAATAAATACATACAGAACAACATAATATCAACATGAAAAATGCTAGTGCAGCCTCACTGACAGTCAGGAACTCCCAACATCTTCCCAAGTGAGGACCTACTTCTACCCAACTGCTACAATATTTTATTACAAATGCAAGTGTTCATTTGCATCTCTCCTCAGGACTAGAGTGGGGATTCAAAACTCTGGAGCCACATTCACACAGTAGGCTTTGAATAGGAGCTTGGAATGAATCCAAGGTGAAAGAAAAATTCTAGTAACCCGGTAAGAGAATTTGTAAACATTCTTAATGGATTAATTAGTTTATTTGTTTCCCTGGAAGATGTCCTTCAGGAAGCAAGTTCACAAATCAAGATACAGTCTGTGCAGCTGGAGTAGAAAATCAGGGTCAGATTCCCAGGGCTGAGAGGTAAATCTGAAGTGCACTTGAACATTAGCGATAAGAGGCACATTCTGAAGCCACCTCAAAAATGCCAAAGCAGCTATGAAAAGTAAAAATTTCAGTCACATCAGTTCTTTGACATCACACCAATGATTTGTGGGTTTCAGTGCATTAGGTGTTCTGTAAATAAGAAAACTCCCAGAACTAGATCTGCTCAGTGAATGGTTAAAAATGAAGATCTCATAAACAGCTCTGCATCACAGCAGACAGCTAATAGTAAGTATTCAGGGAATGCTGGCTGTCGCACGTTAGCAGTGCTTTCCAGCACATGATAAAAGTCAGACTCTGAAGGTAGACAGATGTGAATTTAAGTTCTCACTTTGAGCGAGTTACTTTAACTTCTTTAAGCTTCAATTTCTCATCTGTGAAAGTATTAATAGATAAAAACCAACCACCCCTTTGGTTGTTCACAATAACTGAAGAAGATAAGACATGTGAAAATCTCACATTTTGAAAGCCTGGCTCTCAAAAAGGCTACTTACTGCCAGAGAAGAAGGAAAAGGAGGAGGCAGGGGCGGAGGAAGAAGGAAGATGAAGGAGAAGCAGCAGCAGTGTCACCATTATTATTACTGGGTTTTTTAACAGACAAAACTCAGAATCAGTCTCAGAGATACTAATGATTTTTTATCTTTCACTGTTAGGCAATTACTGGCACAAGCTTTCATTCTTGGCATTGTAGATCACATAAGTCTTTGTTTTGGGGGGTTGCCCTGTGCATGGTGGGATATTTGGCAGCATCTCTGACCTCTATCCACTAGATGCCAGTAGCACCCCCAAATTATAATAACCAAAAATGACTCCAGATATTGCCAAAATATCCCATGGAAGCAAAATCTCCCCTGGTTGAGAATCATTGGTTGCTACCAATGACAGGGAGTCTGTGGCTTAGAAAATGTTGAAAATCGCCTGAGAAGCAACCCAGACAAGTCAAGGGACAATGCTGGTGTCTGACTGTCACTAACCGAGTCTCACATTCTTATTCAATGTACGGCATGGAATTTTAAAACAAGTACTTGTCAGGAAACCACACAGCAGCAAGCTCAGAATTCCTGAACTTACAAAATAACCCATGGAAACAGTGTGGTGGAAATACAATAAAGCACAAATGACACAGAGAGGAACAATTTGGCAAGTGCTCCCTAATCACCCTCACTCAATGACCTAGTCATAGCATGAGCAATGTCCTTTCTTCTCTCCTGCATGAGGGAAGTGTGGTCAGAGGAAAGACTGGATGCCAAAATCGCCTGTGTTTTCATTCCGCTGGCAACCCTGGCTTCAGGCAAGGCTTGACGTCTCTCTTCCAGTTTTTCCAATTGTAAAACGGAGTTGGTAGTAATGAACCTAACCTAACCAGTGTTTTATTCTAAGCTGAGAATATCTATTCAGCACAGGGCCTTGGGTTATAATAACTATTGGGAGAAAAATCACTACAACCACAGGAAATACTTTTGTTTCCAACCTTTCGGGGTGAAAAATGGAATTTATTTCCTCTTTTTCATGAAATGCTTTGGTTTGGTTTGCCTTACAAGGTCTCTCCTCTGTGCTATCTACACACAGACTAGAAACATTATGTAGATTAGTATTTCTCAACTTGTGTTTCACTACTGATCCCCTCAGAAGGTTTTTGGGGCATTTTTGTCTAATCATGGCCCCTCTTTATGAAATTTTAATACCAGAGAGATATTATCTCTTTATGTACCAAGTTCCCTTGGAGGGCCACAAACCACTGTGAATCTAAGATATTTATGCTCCCCAGGAACCAATTCTCACCACCCTGGGGCAATGCTGGTCCAACTGTGGATTCATGATGTGACAGGATCTAGCTTACGAAGTGTGTTCAGATCCTGAAGAACTAGCTTCCAAAAGCAGGAGCTTAAATCGGGGTTTCTGAAGAGACTGAGAATACTAAAGAGAAACCTGGATAAACCAGATAATTCAATATGACATCAAAGCTACACAACACCTGGAGAAATCCAAATTCCCAAGGAAGAACCGTCTCATTCTCCCAGGGCTGGTGAGTCTCTGGGGCTGACAATGTCCCTCAATGGTTCAGGCCCAGCGTGGTCTCAGCTATAATCTTGCTTCATCTCTGAAGAGAAATGCCATCAAACATGCACTTAAGCATGCAAAAAATTTTGTTGGGATTATAAAATTATAATAAATTAATATAAAAATAAATGGCATGTAATAGCTACCATCAAAGAAATTGGAGCCATGGGGCAAAGGCACTTGTGGCTTTGATGAGGTGGTCAGGTGACCTGACAGGAGAGATGCCTCAAGAAATCACATGACAGCTATATATGCATGTACACTCAGAGGAGGGGAGACAGGGACCAGGGCAGCAGGACAGTAAGTGTGTGCCCTGCAGAAAGGACATTGGCTCCAGCCACATAAAACTCTGAGCTTGGATCACATCTTCTGACTTTCTAGATTTTATGTGATATCTTCTAATTTTTAAATGTGGACTTGAGGGGCCGATAGGGGGGTAAAAGGTGGGAGGAGGGGGAGGGTCCGAAAAAATAACTAATGGGTACTAGGCTTAATGCCTGGGTGATGAAATATCTGTACAACAGGCCCCCATGATACAAGTTTACCTATGTAATGAACCTGTACATGTACCCCTGAACTTAAAAGTTAAAAAACAAGGGCTTAAAATGTCTAAACCTTTTGTGGGCTTAACAGAAACACATCTGCAGACAATAAAAAACTATCCATTTGTCAACTCCATTTGCACACAAACAGCAAGAAAAAGTTCCTCTCTTCTTAAGAAGAGAGGCTGTGACTCCAAGGGACTTCTCAATATCACAGAAAGCACCAAATGGAGAAGGAGTGATGCAAAGCTCCCTCTTTTTATTCCAGTACATCTATGTACCCTAATACAACAGATTAATCTGGTGGGTAATTATGCACAGAAATCACTGCCTCATATCTTTACCATATATGAAAAATTTGGAAATAGTGTACCCTAATTACCTAAAGAAATTTAAATGGCATGCTTCCATGACCACAAGTGAAGAGGACTTACGTGTTTTTTAATATGCTGCATATATAAGCTCTTAATAATCACTGATTTTACCCATAGTTAACAATTTAATAATGGCACATTTCCTATCTAATTAGACAAAAATGTAACATCACCAAACTAATATTACCCTACATATGAATTTTTAAGATTTCTAAAACAGGTAATTAACTGTATCTTGCTAAAAATTTAGTTGATATGAAAGGCCCAAGTGAATTCCAACCCCGAGTCCTTGGCTTTTGGACAATTACAGACCTTTTTATAGTAGCTTGGTATGTTTTTAAATACAGCCCTCCCCAAGTCACAGAGGCTGTGCCAAATTTAGTCTCAGGAGTTCTGCTGTCTAGTGTCAGTTATTTTTCTTCACTTTTCATATTATGACTGTAATAAACAATCCACAGCTTTGTATTTTGCTGACAGACATAAATTCAACGTTGCAAAGCAGTGTCACTCAGATATAGGCATAACGTTAAAGAAATGTGACGTGCTGATGAGTTTCACAGTAGTTATGGGCTCAAGGTCAACAGCTGAGGCAAATTCACTTTAGAGAAAATTACCTAATTTGTAAACTCTTTAGCTAAGGTCTGAGTGATGGAAATAAACTTTTATAAAATAAGTGCATTTCTCTTAGTGATATCAGAAGTTAATGTTGATAGCCACAAGATGCTTAAAACTGAAAAGAAAAATTACAGATTCATGCTTAGCCATTAAATATTGTCAGCATACTCTAGTTCTGACATACTAATAGAAAAGATAATAAAACTCATAAATCAATTGGCTGTCTGCTTCTAAGATTTACTGTACTCAAACTGGCCAACTATAAGACAAAATATTATGTTGAATATATTTTTAGCTACCTAAATACAGGGCCCAACGAGATGATAATTAATGGACAAAAAACAGACAGGCATGGTATAAGAGCTGCCATCCAGATGAAGGGAGGCCCTCAATTATAACAAACAATGCATTTTATTACATTTATCTCAAATTTCTCTAAGTTTCCAACTTTATCACCATCTTATGATTAAAATAAGCTGTGATTAATATGTGGAATAAATTGCTTTTTCCTTGCTGTTTTATTTCTACTTCATTTGTACTGAACTAAGATAGGCCCTGAATAAAAATTCCATGAAAAGTCAGTGGTTCCCTGAAGCAAGTCCTTGGCCTTGTGTTGGTTCAAGATAGAAGTCTAATCCAGTTCACATCAAAATGAGAAAAAAAAAAGCAGTGGAGATGCCGGGGGAGTGATAGATTTTCATATGGCTGAACTGTAGCATTTACATGATCTTTTGTCTGAGGCTATCCATTTCATTAATCTGTCTGATATCAAAGAGTATGTTATGAAATGATATTGACAATAAATAGGAGCTTCCCTAAAACTTTTCAAATAAATTTATTTTCTAAAATAAAAGGTTGGAAAGCCTACATTGGGCCCCTCTTTAATTTTAATTTCAATTAAATCTCCAAGTCTGAAAGCCACTGCTCTGTGTGGCTGAGTACACGGGTTTAATTATCTAAAAGAAGGTGCCCTGGTGGTGGATGAGACTTCGGTCAGAAAAGCACCAAGAAGGGAAAGGGGAGGATGGGTCCTGAAGGGTGAGTATGTGCTGTGTACCCTCATCACCCCCATCCCCAACTCTGGGATCACTGTGGATATTGCAAGAGACTGCCTCTACAAATTCATAAGCCTAATTGCCAAACTATTAAGTTTGGGCAATTCACTCTGCGACTTTGGCCCTGGAAACTGACCAATGATAACACAAAAGCATAGCACAAAAGCACTGGCAGAGATAATGATATTTAGATGAAAAGTGACATAAAGATGTGTTAACTTCTGGCTTCTCTCCCAAACATGTGAGGGGGGAGGGAAGGGAAAGGAGACAGAAACCTCAGGTTGGGGTGTTTCACTGCA